>NC_000014.9:63854137-64157167 GCF_000001405.40 Homo sapiens | reverse complement strand
ATCTCTGTTAATATACTAAACATCACTGAACTATACCTTAGAAGGTGAATTTTATGGTATGTGAATTATATCTCAATTTTTAAAAAGGATCTGGGTTGAAATGGAATGTGATCACTATAGTGGCTCCACAGGCCATCTTTATGGGTAGTGTGATGTGAGTTTTGGGTACAATCACACAGCTCTGCACTCAGACCCTGTTTTCTGTTTAATAACTACAAGGAATGCTGGCACATCCACAGTGACAGGGAGGCTCCTCAATCTCTGCCCCAAACAGGGCTGGATAAAAAACCAAAGTGGGACGCTAAAATGTGAGTCTCATGTTGGCAACTATGTGGACTGAATGTCTTTACAAGGGCAGGATGGCTAAGGAAAAGAAACCAAGTTATTTAGTTAAGAAAATAAAGAAGGCGGCCAGGTGTGGTGGCTCACGCCTGTAATCCCAGCACTTTGGGAGGCCAAGGTGGTTGGATCACCTAAGGTCAGGAGTTCAAGACCAGCCTGGTCAACATGGTGAAACCCTGTCTCTACTAATAATACAAAAATTAGCCGGGAGTGGTGGCACACGCCTGTAATCCCAGCTACTAGGGAGGCTGAGGCAGGAGAATCTTTTGAACCTGGAAGGTGGAAGTTGCAGTGAGCTGAGATCATGCCACTGCCCTCCAGCCTGGGCAACAAGAGCAAAACTCTGTCTCCACAAAAAAAAAAAAGGAAAGAAAAAAGAAAATAAAGAAGAAAGGCAAGGAAGGAATTCCTCATCGATGTACATTTTTGCTAGAAATGATCTCACATCTATCTGGGTGGCAGGGATAATTCTGGCACAAAGTACCGCATCATCCCAGAGCCCATATATACATGTCAACACAAGAACTGCCATGGCTCATGTTGCACAAGGCCTTTGCAGCTTCCACAGATAAAGGTGGTGGAACTTCTAGCACCTTAAAGGCCTTCTGGCCTTATAATAAAGCTTCATGGAAAAGACACAGTACATGAGGTTTGAGGGAAAGGATGAGAAAATCATCAAGTAAAATTCACTATACTAAAAACAAGCGGGAGGAATATTTTCAAAATGTTCCAACTGGGGTCATCAGCAGGGCAGCATTTATTGAGCATTGTATAGGCATCAGTATTAAGATAGAAATAAATGACTAGGTGTTATCATCCCCATTTTATAGACCAGAAAATCGAGGCTTAGAGAGGTTAAGTAACCTGACCGAAGATACAGATCAAAAATGGTGCCGCCAGGATCCTTATTTAGGCAGAAACTGCAAAGCCCTTGCTCTTAAACACTAGGTTGTATTGACTCTTGTTTACCCCTGGGCTCAAGTAATCCTCCCATCTCGGCCTCCCGAATAGCTGGGATTACAGGTGCATGCCACCACATCCGGCTAACTTTATTTACTTTTTGTGGAGATGGGATCTCACTCTGTTGCACAGGCTGTTCTTGAACTCCTGGCCTCAAGCGATCCTCCTACCTCAGCCACCCAAAGTGCTGACATTACAGGTTTGAGCCACTGGGCCAGGCCTACATTGACTCTTGACAGCTTATAGATGGATGATCTGTGCCTCACGCCTTCTGCGTTTTTTTTTTTTTTACTTTATTGAAATATAATTCATGTACCATACGATTCATCTATTTAAAATGTGTAATCTCCATAATCAATTTTAGAACATTTTCATGACTCTGAAAAGAAACTGCATAACTATTAGCAGTCACTCCTCGTTCTCCCCAGCCACTAATCTGCCTTCTGTCTTTATAGAATTGTCCATTCTGGTTATTCCACGTAAACAGAATCAAACAATATGTGACCTTTTGTGACTGGCGTCTTTCACTCACCATAATGTTTCCAAGATCATCAGTGTTGTAGTATATATATATATATGTATGTACTACTTCATTCCTTTTGTATGGATAGACCACGTTTTCTTTATACATTCATTAGTAGATGGACAGTTGGGTTGTTTACACTTTCTGGCTATCATGAATCATGCTATGAATATTCACGTATAAGTTTTTGGCGTGGACACGTTTTCATTTCTCTTGGGCTATCTATGGAGGAGTAGAACTGCTAAGTTGCATGGTAACTTTATGTTTAACCATTTGAGGAACTGCCAGACTCTTTTCCAACTCCATGGAACCCGGCCAGCAGTTTGTGAGGGTTACGTCTCCACATCCACATTAACACTTGTTACTGTCTGTCTTTTTGTTACAGCTATCCTAGTGGGTGGGAAGTGGTACTTCTTTGTGGTGTTGATTTTCATTTCCTTGATGGTTAATGACATGGAATATCTTTTCAATGCACTTTTCGGCCATTTGTATTGTCTTCTTTACAGAAATGTTTATTCAGATCATTTGTCTTTTTTTTTTTTTTTTTTTTGAGACAGGGTCTCACTGTGTTGCCCAGGCTGGAGTGCAGTGGCATAGTCTTGCCTTACTGCTCCTTCCACCTCCCAGGCTCAGGTGATCCTCGTGCCTCAGCCTCCTAAGTAGCTGGACTACAGGCACACACCACCACACCCAGCTAATTTTTTCTATTTTTGGTAGAGATAGGGTTTTGCCATGTTGGCCAGGCTGGTCTTAAACTGCTGAATTCAAGCGATCTGCCCACCTTGGCCTCCCAAAGTGCTGGGATTACAGGCGTGAGCCACTGAGCCTGGCTTGTATCCATTTTTTCCATTTGGTCATTTTTCCTTTTATTATCAAGTTGTGATAAATCTTCATATATTCTAGGTGTAAGTCCCTTATCAAATATATGATTTATAAATACTTTTTTTAACAATTTGTGGTTTGCCTTTACTTTTTTGATGCTGTGCTTTAAAACATCAAGGTGTTTAGTTTTGATGAAGTCCAATGTATCTATTTTTTTCTTTGATAGCTTACGATTTTGGTGTCATTCTAGGTAACCCCTGCCTAATCCATGAAGTCATGAAGATTTACACCTGTGTTTTCTTCTAAGTTTTATACTTTTAGCTCTAATACTTGTGTCTTTTTTTTTTTTTTTAATACAAATGGGGGTCTTGCTATGTTGCCCAGGCTGGTCTTGAATTCCTTGCCTCAAATGATCTCCCACCTCAGTCTCCCAAAGTGTTGGGATTACAGGCATAAGCCACCATGTCTGGCCTGCATTTATGTCTTTGATCTATTTTAATTTTTGTATATTGTATGAATGCAGAGGTCTAACTTCATTATTTTACATGTGGATACATGGTTGTCCCAGCACCATTTTTCAAGAAAGTGTTTTCCCTCATTAAATTGTCTGAGGATCCTTGTTGAAAATCAATTGACTACAAATGTGAGGGCTTATTTCTGGACTCTCAATTCCATTCCAAGTATATATATGTCTATCCTTATGACAGTACTATCTGCATGTTTTCACATGCATTATTTCATTTAATTTTCTCTTTATATTTTTATTATATTGTAATTATCTGTTTACATGTGTTTCTTCCACTAGCCTATGAGTTCTTTGAGGGTAGGATTCATTTATTTTCTTGTTTACCTTTGTAACCCTGGCAGTGAGCACAGTACCTCACACAATGTATGCTTAACAAATGACTGAATAAGCTCATCTCTATTTTTCTGCTACATTCCTGGGGGAATGAGGACTGAGGAATGAGGCTGAGTGTTGCCTATGGATTTCATGCAGGTTATTCCCTATTCCCTCTTGGTACAAATGGTTGAAAGTAGATTTTAGTAGGTGACAACCCACAATGAAGGTTCTCTAGGAAACATGGACATATCTATAATTGATGGTATAGATTATACCATTGATAGATTATACCAATTGATTGGTATAATTGGTTAGTATTTTTAGTTCTCTTCCTCTGTTGTGGGAAAATGTCAAGGTTGCAATGTCTAGAGATGCCTGAGCTCGCTCTCTTTTGGTGCTCTCCTCCTGGAAGGGGTAAAATGCTGACATTGACATGCCTTTTGTAAGATTATTAGATGTCTTGCACCCTTTCTTCCTTTATACTCTCTCTTCAACACCATGTAGTGTTTCTTCCAAACTTTAGAGTCCTCCTGGAGCTGACTATGCTCCTAGCTCATAGAGGCTACATGATACAGGATCACTTCCTCCCTGAGGCATCTCCCTGTACATGGAGACACTGCTTCATCACTGTTTCTGTATATCTTGCCAGGAAACAATGCCAGATACTCTGTTGGGTTTGGGGTATGGAGATATTTATGTCTGAGTGAGTACATTAGACAAAACAAAGATAACCAAGTGGATTTGCAGCCTGTCAATGACGTTGGAATTGGTGGCTTTGCCTCTAATTATTGAGTGCATAAAATGGGACTTGAAATGCTTCTAATTTACTTCAATTTTTCTCAGCAACTTTTCAGTGTTTGGTATAGAGAGTCTCCATGAGTAAAGGACGAAAACAACTACAACGACAAATAAGGTAAAAGAATATGTGAAGAGAAATAGCACATTTCAAATGAATTCTAGTACCTGAGTGAGAACACTGCTTCTCTTTTGAAATAACTCATCAATTCGGGATGCTGTATCTTCTAACAATGGCACTGCCCCACTCTCCAAAGTCAGATAACTTTGTTTCAACTCATCTAGTGCTTTGGATTTAATTGCAAGTTGATTTTCTATATCCTGGAAGAGTAAGAGGAAAAGGTTTTCAATGCACAATATTACAAAACAATTAATAAGGTGTCAGAGACAGGAGTTCACTCTTTTCAAGTAAAAATGTCATTAGATTATATAATTAAATAGCATTACATCAAAGAAATTTAAATCATAATACTCTTAGTTCAATTACATATGACACAACTCTGTATTTTAGGAGAATCTAGGCAACACGTCTGAACCATCATGGCAGAGCAGAAAGGATGCTGGTCCGAGATCTGGTCCCCATTCCACGTCTGCCCTGCACTGGCTGTTTGACCAGGCATAAGTCATCGAACCTTTCAGTCTCCATTTTCTCATTTGGAAAAAGTGATGATACCCACAGCATGTGTGCCAAGCTAAGAACTCAAATAAAATCACGAGCAAGAAGGTGCCTTTAAACCATATAGCATCATATAAATGACAGACGATATAACTGTTGGTAGTTCAGTAATAACTTTAATCATTTTCTACCTCTTAGTTTATTAATTCACTCATAAGAGGCACCCTGACCTGGTCTACTCTTTATAGATACATTTTTAAAAACCTACAGGATCCCTCTACTACAAAGGACACCATGGGGCCAGCAGTCTGAAAACAGAGATGAATGAGGCCAGCAGCAATGGTGCCACTCTACTCAGAGGAAGGACGGTCGGAGCTGCTTATTTGTCCTTCTCAGGATTGCAGTTGAAATCCAACTTGGAAAAAGTTTAAACTTTTTAAAAATTATTAAAGCATTACATGCTCATTACAAAGAAACTGGAAAACACAAGAGATCTTTGGCATTCAGAGGGATTCATTTTGAATTCCCCTCAAGTCTCCCAATTCACAAATTTGGGACGCGCTTCTGCATACTTTCTTTAGCATTACATTCCCATCCAGATGCATGTGTTCTGAATGCATGGCCTCAAGATAACGACCCTTAGCTCATGTTCTATTTCTCTCTTGAAAATTGCTTTGCATAAGGATCCCAGCTTTTTTTATTTTTATTTTTTGAAAATTGCTTTGCCTAAGGATCCCAGCCTTTTTTTTTTTTTTTTGAAAATTGCTTTGCCTAAGGATCCCAGCTTTTTTTTTGAAAATTGCTTTGCCTAAGGATCCCAGCTTTTTTTTTTTTTTTTTTTTTTTTTTAAATCCTTTGTAAGAATCACTGCATGGTCCATAAGGAAAGAGAAACATGAGTGCCTCGTGGGCATGGGGTAGCTGAGCAGGTGGCTTGTACCCTGGGAGGGACAAGCTCCCTTGTGCTAGCCTCACAGAGGAGCACTGAAATCCAGTCCCGCAAAACTGCCAGATTACCACGTGAGGAGCCCTCAGGTCACTCTTGGAAGGTGGAAATCACAAACTCTAAACCAATGAATGTCAGGGGTCTTCTGGACTGGAAAGTAGAAAAAGGGAAAAAAATCTGTTCCATAAGAAACTGATAGCTAGGTTTGGGAGTAAGAACGGATGATGAGAGAATGGAGCTGGAGGAATCTTCCACTGTATGACCCTCTATGCTTTTAGAATTTAGAGCCACATGAATATATAGCGTATGAACAGAAAACCTCTCACTGTCGTAACAATCCACCCATACTAACATGTGGGTGAATTTATGAAATATTATTCTTCTGGACTGGTTACAAAGGCACCCAGGAAACAAAACGACTTCTCTGAAATAGCCTTTGCCAATGAGATTTAGTCAGCTGCTACCTCTGTCCATCTCTGCCACCCTAACTCGCTCCCTCACACCCTGACAGCCTTATTTATTAGCATGTTTCTTTTATCATAGGTTTAACTTTTTTCATCTGCAAAGTTATAAATGAAAACACTTTAATATTAAATCACTTTCCTTCTTTGAATTTATAAAACAGTCTCTCCTAAAGGCTTGACTAACTAGATTTCTAAAAACACTTATTTACTAATAAGCTGTCATAATTCCCCTATAATGTAAAGAAAACTGGTAAGAAATGACTACAAAGCAGACAAAAGGAAGTAACAACACACACACACACACACACCCTTCAAAAATGGCAGCATAAACAACAGCCATGCCGGGCACAGTGGCTCACGCCTGTAATCCCAGCACTTTGGGAGGCCAAGGCAGGTGGATCACTTGAGCCCAGGAGTTTGACACCAGCCTGGGAAACATGACAAAACTCTGCCGTTACAAAAAAATACAAAAGTTAGCTGGGTGTGGTGGCACACGCCTACAGTCCCAGCTACTTGAGAGGCTGAGGCGGGAGGATCCTTTTTTTTTTTTTTTTTTTTTTTTTTTTTTGAGAGAGAATCTTGCTCTGTCACCCATGCTGCAGTAGGCATGATCTCGGCTCACTGAAAACTCCGCCTCCGGGATTCAAGTCATTTTCCTGCCTCAGTCTCCCAAGTAGCTGAGGCTACAGGCATGTGCCACCATGCCCAGCTAATTTTGAGCCACCGCGCCCAGAGTGGGAGGATCTCTTAAGCCTAGGAGCTCAAGGCTGAAGTGAGTTATGATTGCAACACTGCACTCCAGCCTGGGTGACAGAGTGAGACCCTGTATCAAAAAAAAAAAAAAAAAAAAAAGAAAAGAAAAAAAAAAGCCATGGCAATAGCAGCACACGAACAACCACACACGGTGGGGTTGCTCGTTTCTTTTGCTCTGCAGAATAATACGGATTTAGCCCAGTAGTCCTGTCATCTGACCTTGCTTCACTGAGGCCTAACAGTACCCTTCAAGTTTCCCAACTCCCACTTCACCGGCAAATTAATTTGTCTTACTTTAACTTCCAATTTGCTACACATAAATCAGGGTGGAATTAAAAATAATCTTTTGCTAATTATGGAGATTCAGTAGAATTTGCAAGTCCTATTTTTCCATTCTGTGAGAACCAGCATTAAATATTTTTAAAATATCTAAATTCCTCTGACTTTATCACGAACATACTTCTTTAAGAAGCTGTGCTTGCTTATAGTATAGAGGCATCAAACTTGAGGGATTAATAATCTCATCTCAAACCTCCCCACTCTATTCAACTATACAATTTTCCTTGATAATTATAATATGTCAAACGTGGCCTTTTTCCAGTCATCAATGGCTTTTAGAAGCCCTTCGGAATATTTCAATCCTAATGTCTTCATGCTTCATCAACTCCAGTCCTTAACTTTTCTAGAGTAAAGCCACTTTAGCAAGCTTACCTGAACTGAAGCATTCTGCCCTGGGATAAGTCATTAAAGTATACATCAATCATTTTCATCATTTTCTTTTCTTTTTTTCTTTCTGTTTTGTTTTTTTAGAGATGGGGTCTTATCCAGGATGGAGTGCAGTGGCATGATCATGGCTTACTGCTTGAACCTTGAACTCCTGGCTCAAGTGATCCTCCTGCCTCAGCTCCCGAGTAGCTAGGATTACAGGTGTGCAACACTATGCCCAGATAACTTTTTTTTTTTTGGTAGAGACTGGGTCTTATGTTGCCCTGGCTGGTTTTGAACTCCTGGCCTCAAGTGATCCTTCTGCCTTAGCCTCCCAAATTTCTGGGATTACAGGTGTGAGCAACTGCACCTGGCCTCATTTTAGTTCTTGTATGCAAAGAATAGTGGAAAAAAAAAAAAAAAAAGAGAAATTAACATTTATAGAAAAGCAGCCTTTTAGGTCTATTAATAGATATATTCAGGCAACTATTAAGCACCTATGAATTTCACAGGCAGTGACAGGTATAACAGGCATGCTGATGTGCCAGCCTGCCTTGAGAATCCCACAATCTGGTAGACGACAGACCCGTGGACAGATGAGCCCAGTACAGTCTCTGACACATGATGCTACATGGGGTGCTAGGGAAGCCTGTTTTATTTATTTGCTTCCATCTTGGCCTTGTTTATGGCCTTTTACAAAGAGGCATCCAAGCAGCAGCATAAAAAATTAAAATAGGAAGAAATGAGCTAATGGAAATGTGGGAGTAGGTAGGAAGGCACAGTCAGTGGGCACGTGGTGAGGGAGGGGGTCAGGGTGCTTTGATTGAGTTCTGACAAACATAGAGGAGAACCTGTGTGTGGATGGTGGGGGCGAGGGGAGGGAAGTAGAAATAATTCTGCAATCAGCTGCAAATGTAATGGCACAGAGGCAAATGGGGACTGACGAGGGATGATGCCGGCCAGGCATGTCTGTAAATTTCTTTTAAAGCCCCTTGTCTCAGTCAACACTAGTCATTTTTCTAATGAGCAGAGCAAATGTGAGAAATGGTTTTCTATTGGTAAAATTAATGGATTATTATTGTTATTAGAGATGGGGTCTTGCTTTGTCACCCAGGCTGAACTACAGTGGCATGATCATAGTTTACTGTCACCTTGAATTCCTGGGCTCAAAGGATATTCTTCCCTTAGCCTCTTGAGTAGCTGGGACTACAGGCATGCACCACCATGCCCGGCTAATTTTTAAATAGTTTTTTGTAGAGACGGGGTCTCACCGTCTTGCTCAGGCTGGTCTCGAGCTCCTGGACTCAAGCAATTCTCCCACCTCAGCCTCCCAAAGTGCTGGGATTATACACATGAGCCACTGCGCCCGGCCTTAATGGCTTATTAAATAACATAATGAGTATTAGAAATGGGTTCTCACTAGTAAATTTCATGTACTCAAGATCCATGGATTGGCTAAACTACCGTAGATATAATTTCCACCCCTACTTGAACGGCTATAAGAACTGGGCATAGCCTGTTGCCTTCAACTAGTGCAATAATCCCTAAGGTAAGTCCTTATGTGGTTTTTGTATCCAGTTTAAACTCCAAGGATTCTGGTTGCCTAATGTTGGCCATAGAAATAATGGACTCTTGCTTCTGGAATATTACTATGTCTGCCTTTCATGCAAAGCGGTGGTTGGTGTGCTAAAGAGGGCAGAGAGGCTTTGCTGAACTTAGTTATATAAACTATTTTTAGTGCTTGCTTGCTAATCTATGTTTCTACAGATGGTGGCATTGTGTCTGGAATTTATTTTATTTACAGCTTGGTAGTGAGGTTGTGGGAAGAATAGCTAAACTTAATCCATTTCGACCTTGTTCCGTGGCTACCATTATCTATCAAAAAGAGAAACAACTGTGTAAGACTCACTTGACTTAGGTCTATTTGCAACTCTTTGTAGGTGAGGGACCAGAATGTCATTCTAAAACATGTGAACTTCATTCTGTGGTCCATCTGGAGCCACTGGAGGATTTTCCAGTGGAGAGTGTTGTGACCCTTTGCATTTCAGAAATATCCCTCTGCAGCAATGTGGAGAATGAATCAGAAGGAAATGAGGGAGGAGGCTGGCAAGTGGGCTGGAAGCAGCTGCATGAGACAGGCCTGCACTGAGGGTGGTCTGAAGGAAGCCGGCCTGACCGAGACAGACTGGCCAGACAGTAAGGAGTAAGTCAAGAGCACCTAATGAGAAACTGTATGTAGCGACACGCATGAAAACACCTCCTGGGCTCTGGAAAGAACCACCTACTAGGGGACAGGCCAGCACCAGGCTGCGGAATGTAGGCTTCCAGTAAGGAAGCACATGACTCCAAGGTGGCTGTCAGAAGGCTAAAGTGGAGATGGCTCATTGGGAGGTGGGAACAGTATACGAGCAGGTGAAAAGGGCCGCTTACGGTGGTGCTGCTGCTCACATTTATGTCCAGTGCTATCCCGTGACCTCCTCAGTAGAAATGGGGTCCGGCCAGACTTTCCAGTCCTGACAGTGACTATTGTAAGGCCGTCACGCAGGAAGTGCAGAAACAGCACAGCGTGTGCCGCCTGCCGTGATGGCGATGGCAGAGGTCCTCTGAATGGGCAGCAGCCACAAGGGCAGTGCTAAAGCAGGATCAGTGTGCAAAGACTGAGTGATGCGGCAAAGCATAGCTGAACCACGGACAACACCCTCAAGCCCAAATGTGATTCAGCAGAGGTTCCAAGGGACAAGTGAACTTTTTAAAGCATAATACACAATAGGTAGAAGAAAATCATTTTCCTCGAAAAAACACAGAATGAAATGCTAAAAATAATGAAACCTTTAGAGTAATTTTGTAACATTAGGCAAAATGATTAAACAAATGGAAAATTGGAAAGCATTTAAATCAAAATTCCCTTTGAACATTTTTCCCCAAGAGTACTACTCAAACCTCTTAAGAGCAGCAATACTGTAACGGTGAAAGTACATTCTTCTGTTTATCATAAAAAACGGCACTTTGCAATTTTGTAAAACCCATGGGTCATTATCTAATTGACATAAGAAAATAAGTAAATAGAGGGGAGCTGGAAGAGAGTTTCCACAAACTACAGCAACTTATCCTCGGGGCAAGAGAGGTGACCGAATCACCCCAGCTCGCGGGTTGGGTGGGATGCTGTTCCCCTCCTCACCTGACAGTCCAGGAGCAGCTTCTGCACTGAGATCACACTTTCAGGTTTTTGTAAAGTTTTCAGTCTCTCTTCTTGTGCTTCCAGCCAGTTGTTCAAGATCTGTATTTTATTTTCACTCTCAGTGATACTTTCTAGAAGTTGTTCTAAATGTTGTATCTAAGTGAATGTAAAGATTACAAAAAATGTTAAAATGTATGTTTTAAAAGGTAAATGCCATGACGTTATTTTTTAAAAAACAATTTTGCTTCTTTTCAAATTTCTAATATTTCATGTAATAAGATGCTCTGATAACTTTTGAATAAAGATTCAAAAATCAGAAAACAGAGTTAAAGCTCCTCTTAGGAAAAAAATATCATATTTAAGGTGAAAGCTAATCTGCTGAGAAAGGTAGCTGTTGTGGAGTTTCAGATGTATACAAAATAAAATGTTCCCAACATTCGATATTTTTTCATTGTGTCATCTATTAATATATGTAAAGTATAAGAAAAATTTCTTTCCTCAGACTTTCTGCATTAGAGTTGCTTAAAATTTCTACCAATATCAATAAAAAATAATTTATCAATTCAATAAAATAATCATTGTCTTTAATGTCTGTGATTCTCATTCATAATAAATTTTTTATTAGGTCATAATCATAATATACACACATTTTTATATTCTTTTTTACATACATTATAACTACTGTGTCATGACATAATTTTTTTTTTTTTTTTTTTGAGACGGAGTCTCGCTCTGTCACCCAGGCTGGAGTGCAATGGTGCAATCTCGGCTCACTGCAACCTCCACCTCCCGGGTTCAAGCAATCCTCCTGCCTCAGCCTCCCTAGTAGCAGGGATTACAGGCACGTGCCGCCATGCCCAGCTAATTTCTGTATTTTTAGTAGGTCAAGAAAACACCTGACCTTGTGATCTGCCCGCCTCGGCCTCCCAAAGTGCTGGGATTACAGGCATAAGCCACCACGCCCAGCCTGTCATGACATAATTTTAAAAGGCTGCCCGGCCAGGCGTGGTGGCTCTTACCTGTAATCCCAGCATTTTGGGAGGCAGAGGTGGGTGTATCACTGGAGGTCAGGAGTTCGAGACCATCCTGACCAACATGGTGAAACCCTGACTCTACTAAAAATACAAAAATTAGCTAGGCGTGGCGGCAGGCATGTGTAATATCAGCTATTTGGGAGGCTGAGGCAGGAGAATTGCATGAATCTGGGAGGTGGAAGTTGCAGTGAGCCGAGATCGCGCCACTGCACTCCAGCCTGGGCAACAGGGCGAGACTCTGTCTCAAAAAAAAAAAAAAAAAAAAAGCTGCCCCAATGTTTCATCAAATTAATACAGTATAATTCGATGAACTATTCCCCTAGAGTGAGAATTAAGGCATGGTACATTTTCACAGCTGTAAACGATGCTGAATTGAACACTCTGTGCACATCATTTACTTTTTTGAAGGACTATCTACTTAAATGTGTAAGAGGTGACTTGCTTGGTTAAGTGATAAGATTATTATTACGGTTCTTTACATTTTCCAAATGCTTTCCAAGAAAGTACTTAAGCCATTATCAGCAATGTATGAACGTGACAGCTTTGGGTTTTTGTCCTTATCTGATTAATTTTTTTTCTAATTAAGTGCATTATGTTACACAGTGTTTATTTTGAGTATCTGCTAATGATATCTTTCCATGTTTATTTGCTAACTATAATTTCCTCTTTTGTGAATTGTCTGTTCATGTCCTTTGTCCATTCATGTACTTGTATCTTAATTGTGTAAATCCATTTGTATGCATTCTCTACACAGTAAACACACCAATTATCATCATGATTATATGTAAAGTATTTTTTCAGGAATAAGTTTTCCGAATCTTTTCAAGAGTCATGGAGTGAAAAATCTACCAAAAAGCCAAGTGCATTTTTCTTTCTTTTTATAACCTTTTCAAAGCTGAAATAGCTTTGCCCCTTTTGAACATCTGCTTTCATAGAAAATGTAAAATCTCTGATCATTTAGGAGTCTGACATAATACTTGACATGTTCCTAAATAAAATTCCTCATCTTCACTTGCCTAGCTCAATTTCCCACTAAGAAATCTCAAATATAAGAACTATTTTTATATTCTCTTATAGGTACCAATGGAGAATGCTAAAACATAGGATTTATAAAAGGGCTATAGTTGAGATGATTATTAGGCTTAATAATCAGTCAACTAATTGAACGTCTTTTTTGATTTTTCAGAAAGTGTGTTTCATAAAGGTCAAACCACACATCCAGTTGTGACGCAGGAACACACCTTTCTATTCAGCATTCCATGTACACGGTGCCACTGGCGGTTCATCTCCCCCAGGTGCTCTGCAAACTCCGTTCTTTCATAGCGCTTGCTTTCTACATCACAGGTGCTTAGCTGAAGTAATGACTGGTTAACGAAGTCAACTATCCACTGTTTATAGTCCATTTCCATTCTAAACTCCTAAAATAAGCAAAGTTAAACACCAAAGCAGTCATGAATGTTGGTCAGATCAAATGGATTTCCCTTTATGTGCTCGAGGGGGCACCAAGCTCCCGTCCATTAATCAAGGGGCACCTGTCAGGAGTTCTGTTCTACCCTCCCCAACCTACACCAGGAGTTGGCTTTATTGGAGTAGGGATTCTTTTGGGGAATTACACAGAGATGCACTGCTTTCAAATAGGCTGAAAAGTCAAAGGGGCACTATGTATGGCAGTTGCTATCATCTGAACCCTGACCACGACCCAGGATATGACAAAGCTTCCTGGGGGAGGCTGCCTGTCAGCTGTGCTGGAATTCTGGGCCATCCTGAGGGCTCACGGAAACAACCAGATGGGAAATAGGAAGTAAAGTCTCTTTCAGAAAACCCAGGACACCTTAAGGAACTCTGTCATTTAGGCAGCTTCCCTGTTCCTTCGGGGATAGTTAAGGCCTCTCAGGTGGCTTTAGAAAGTTTGGGTGGCTTTAAGTTGTACAGCAATCCTAAACCCACCCAGGGCCAACAACATTTCTGCCAAACCTGTCACTTACTGATTTTATCTCTGCAAGTTCTAGCACCTCTTTTGGAGACACCCGGGGGTGACAGTCATGTGGTATGTGCTAGGTTGCTAGAGCCTGTGAGAATATACACGTGTAGACTTTTCGAAGATTTTACTACACACTGAAGTTAGGATGTGATGGTACATAAAAACAAAATTCTCTGCTAATATCTTGCTTGGTGATTAAGCCATTCATCTTCTGCCTACCAGAAGCTAGTTCCATCAGCCTGCATGGTCTTAAAGCAATGACCACACTTGTCACTCATCTTTGTATTCCCAGTGGCCAGCATAGTGCTGAGCACACAATACACGTTTGCATGTGGCTCATGAAATGTTAATTAAATCTACTTGAAATTAAATATCACAGAGAAGGCCACATTTATATCTATTTGTAGAAGGATCTCAATATTTTCTTACTCATTCTCTTACTCAAAGAACATTTCATTAACACCTGTTAGAGGAAGGCAGGTATTGGGATAGGCGTGCTATATTTTAGCAAGGTGAAGGATGGCCCCTGGTCTCGAGAAGCTCAGTCAAGGTGGGGAGACAGGCAAATAAACCAATAATTATAATAATGCATGATAGGAGCTACTAATAGCATCATGGAGACATCTAATCCAGGAAAGTCACCTAGTCTGGCTGGGAGAGTCAGGGGTGGATTTGCAAACAAGGACAACTCGAGCTGACTATGGAAGATGACTAAGAGGACGTATACAGTTAAACGTGGGCCCTGGCATTCCAGGTAGAGGGTGCAGCATGTACACAGGATGATAAGGGAGAGCACCAAGAACAGTTAAGGAATCAAAATCACTCTGTCAGGCAGAGTCTGTGGTTATTGGGGGTGGTGGGATGGGGATAAAAAGGTGAGACCACAGTCTGTTAAAAGCTTGCTTGGATTGTCCTGTGGTGATGGGGGCTGGCAAAAGGAATTTAAGTGGAACAAAAGCAAGTCTACTAACATCTCTCCAGAATCATCCACCACCCCAGTTTCCTACCCCTAGAATTAGTTTTTTGAAATTATATCCTATGTGTCCCTTTGTCCAGCATTACCCCTCTGATTAGCCTTCTTGTTTCAATGAAAAGACTTCTGCTCCTTTTGCATAATTACCTTGTGCTTCTGAAGAAGATGTTTAACTTGAGATGCAGAACTTGGTGAATGCACGGAGTCTTCATCTGAAGTTTGATGCTCCACATTGTTCATCCAGCTAATCATTTCTGTGATTGCTTTACGAGACGGCAATTTCTCCATTTGAAGCTGTAAGAACAAAATGATTTCCATTTAATTGCCTGCAGTTAACAAAATGAATCAGAGCATCACTAAAGATGATATCTGGTTTGATAAAAGGTCTTGCTATATAATTATGCAGGTTACTCAAAAAAAAAACAAACCCAGCATTCAAACTTAGAATAAGCGACCCCAAAACAATGACAATGACCTTCACATAAACTAACACAGTGGCAAAGATAAACTGAGAAATAAAGTAATTAAGCCTGATTTCTCTCTTAAGAAAAATCCCATTGGAGGAGGGTCCAGTAATTAAGACTTATATTCAGTGGTGCCAGAGAAAAATAGGTAGTGTCAATGAAAATTATTGAGTCAGAGAAATAATTTTAAAAGAGTTATGAGCTAACAAGTGAATGCTAATTCAAATGCTGAGGCTCTAAAGACTTACCTGGTGAAGTTTTTCTTGAATATCTGGAAGTTGAGTTATGAGCATTGTCCATTTTTGTTCAAACTGTGCTAAAGAAGCTCTCAGTGTAGCTGTATCAGTTTCTTTCAGGTGAAGAAGCTGGTTCCCGATACTGATAACGGCAGTCTTCAAGGAGGATTTTTCATCAACTTCTTTTGAAAACTCCTAAAGGAGAGTTTTAAAATTTAGAAACTTAAAATTTAAATATAGCAGAAAGTAAGAGTCGGAATAACTGGCTAGAGTCAACAAATAAACATAGTAAATATACGAATGTGTATACACACACACACACACACCCCTTTTTCCTACTGTTGGGCATTACATACACGATGGGGAACAAAAGAGATGGAATGCATACCCCTCAAGAAGCTTATCACCCAGTGGGTTAACATTTTTAAAAATAAGTCATTATTTAAATGGGGTAAGTTTTACAATAAACTATGGAACCCAACACAAAGTGCACATTAAATGAATTACTTGCAACAAGTTTGTAATTAAAATGTTTAAATCTTTCCTATGTAGAAATTCTTTCAAGTATGTTGAAAAAATTTACATTTTAATAGCAAAGTTAGTAATCATAGCTACGAAGTATGAAAAATAAAAAAAAAACAGGAAAAGTCTAACAGAAAAGACTACGTTTCATAAATGCATTGACCAATAATCATTTTGTAATTATATTACAAGAGTAATACATTTTTATTTCCCCCAAAATTTGGGGGATATTTTTGAATTTTTTTCCAAAAAACACCTCAAAACAATGGAACAAAAGCTTTTTAGTAGAAATATCAATTTTGTTTACAATAATTTAAAACTATGCATTTATTAATGTTAACATTTATAAGTTAATAACCTTATAAAGTTGTTTTTGGGTCTTGTATTTTTTGTATTTGTAAAACATGACCTATGTCAGTGCAAGTTTTTTGAGACTGAGTTTCACTCTTGATGCCCAGGCTGGAGTGCAATGGCGCCATCTCAGCTCATTGCAACCTCCACCCACCGCGGTTCAAGTGATTCTCCTGCCTCAGCCTCCCGAGGAGCTGGGATTACAGGCATGCACCACCATGCTCGGCTAATTCTGTATTTTTAGTAGAGACAGGGTTTCTCCATGTTTGTCAGGCTGGTATCGAAATCCCGATCTCAGCTGATCCACTGCCTCAGCCTCCCAAAGTGCTGGGATTACAGGCGTGAGCCACTGCACCTGGCGCAAGTTTTAAATTCAGATATATTTTATGGGGTCAATTAAAAACATATTTTATTATAAACGAATGAACAGTATAAACAGTTCTAGGTTTGAAGAACACAGCTGCCATTCGCCCAAGTCTTACCCCTTATCCACAAATAAATACGAAGACTATCACATCAACCCTGATGCTTTTTCCTTGATATTTATTTCTGACCAGTAATTAACTGAACATATGCTATTACAACTTACAAAAAAATTGTTGATGTTGCTTCTGATTGTATCCAAGTCCTGAGACACATTGAGGGACTGTTCTTTCCAGTAATTCAGAGTATGCTGGGAAGATTCCAACCACTTGGTTAACTGATCCGAATCTCTGTTATAACTAACAGGAGCAAAGTGAGAGAGAAGGCAGATTAGAAACATATTCTGATAATGATATGCATCACCAGCAAATTTTCTTATTTTATTGTATGTCCTCCTATGTTGATCAGTCCTAACATTCAGAATATCATGACGTTAATAAGGATTATATCATGTTTTATACCATGATGCTCCTGGCATTTTCTAGGACTCTCTTCATTACAGCTCAGCAAGAACAGTGAGGATTTTAGGCCAGATGTGGTGGCTCATGCCTGTAATCCCAGCACTTTGGGAGGCCGAAAAAGGTGGATTGCCTGAGGTCAGGAGTTCGAGACCAGCCTGAAAAACATGGTAAAACCCTGTCTCTACTAAAAAATACAGAAAATACCCAGGCATGGTGGCAGGCGCCTGTAGTCCCAGCTACTCAGGAGGCTGAGGCAGGAGAATCGCCTGAACCCAAGAGGTGGAGGTTGCAGTGAGCCGAGATTGCGCCACTGTACTCCAGCCTGGGCGACAGAGCAAGACTCTGTCTCAAATAAAAAAAAAAATAATAATAATAATGAGGAAGTCTAAAGCATTCTTTATTTCTTATTACAGCTACACAAAAGTATACCCAATGAAGGAACAGAGATTTTTATCCATCAAATGTCTTCTATAAATTTGTTTATATTAAAAATATAGGTCAGGCACAGTGGCTCACTTCTGTAATCCCAGCACTTTGGGGTAACAAGGTGGGAGGATGGCTTGAGCCCAGGAATTTGAGACCAGCCTGGGCAACATGGAAAAACCCCATTTCTACAAAAAATACAAAAATTAGCAGGGCGTGGTGGCATGTGCTGTGGTTCCAGGTACTTGGGAGGCTGAGGTGGGAAGATTACTTGAGCCCAGGAGGTCAAGGCTGCAGTGAGCCACGATCACGCCACTGCACTCCAGCCTGGGTGACACAGTGAGACCCTGTCTCAAAAAATAAATAAAATTACATACACACACACACACACACACACACACACACACACCATACATACACACACACACACACACACACACACAACCAGCATTTGTATAAGCTGTATAACAACAAACTGCTGCTGGCTGAACACCCAACGTATTTGCCCGAGGTAGTGAAAATATTCAAACAATATTCTGCCCTTCTTGTAACTTTTAAACTGCCTTAGATTAAGATGCAGGGATGAGAATGATGTTTAAATGTTCTATGTTCTCCTCCTTCCTCACACGGTTCAAGATTATACCAACTAAGCACAACAAATTCTCCAAAGAACTCAAAAGCCTATTTCAAACTATTCTGTTAGCTAAAATCATTTAATTTTTTTAATTTTAAAACTTTTGGAAAGAGCAATATCATGGTATAAAGGTAACCTATATATTATTTTATAACATAATTCCTAGCTTCTATAGAAATGTGTAAACTAGCTGGGTGCAGTGGCTTACACCTGTAATCCCAGCACTTTGGGAAGCTGAGGCAGGAGGACTGCTTGAGGCTAGGAGCTTGAGACCACCCTGGGCAACAATGTGAGACCCCATCTCTACAAAAAATTTTATAAAATTAGCCATGCACGGTGGCCTATGCCTGTAGTCACACCAACTTGGGAGGCTGAGGCAGGAGGATCGCTTGAGTCCAGGAGTTCAAGGTTGCAGTGAGCTATGATAGTGCTGCTGCACTCCATGCACTCCAGCCTGGGTGACAGTGCAAGACCTTGCCTCCTTAAAAACAAAAAAGAAAAGAAAAGAAAAGAAAAGAAAAAACGATCACAGCAAACTGATTACATGTTATACTGTGTCTAGCAAACCATCAGAGATTCTACATCGCGTTTAGCCCAGAAGAGGGACCCAACTGCTTTAGACTGCCCAAGAAAAAACAGCATAAGGTGGGTTGCAGGTAAAATTTAGTTGACTACAGAATCCCCGAGGTCTTTCTTCACAGCACAATATGAAGCCAATCCACCCCCAAAAAGGCTGACCTGAGCAGATGCTTGAGAAGAGCTTGCAGCCTGTGGAGCTCATGGTCAATTTTCTTGTTCAGGGACAACCACTGCTCTTCCAGTTTTGCGATCTGGCCCTCTAATTCAGGACAGCTCACAGACGCCACCAACTGTTTGCCTTCGTTCAGAGTTTGGTAAAGCCGGGCGTGTTTTCCACCAATGTTTCTTTTTATTTGCTAATAAAAAGTAAAGTCATAGAATGAATTATTTAGAAAATAAAGTCTGCCAAGCTATTCACAAATACTGCATTTAAAACTGACATTTGTGTCCACTGATAAAACAGTAACACTTTCCCAACATTCAAGACTATATAGTCTGACTGGATGCATGATTAATGGTTTATTGGTTACCTTTCATGATAGGTGTCCAATCTTGCATTTCTAGAGCACAGATTCAACTTTGTAGACTTACTGGCTGGATGCAGTGGCTCATACCTGTAATCCCAGCACTTTGGGAGGCTGAGGCAGGCAGATCACCTGAGGTCTGCAGTTCGAGACCAGGCTGACCAACATGGTGAAACCTCCTCTCTACTAAAAATACAAAAAATTAGCTAGGTGTGGTGGCGCATGCCTGTAATCCCAGCTACTTGGGAGGCTGAGGCGGGACTTGGTGGCGCACACCTGTAATCCCAGCTAGCCAGGAGGCTGAGGCAGGAGAATTGCTGGAACCCAGGAGGTAGAGGCTGCAGTGAGCTGAGATTGTGCCACTGCACTCCAGCCTGAGCGACAGAGCGAGACTGTGTCAAAACAAAACAAAACAAAACAAACCAACCAACCAACCCAAATCAACTTTATAGACTTATTGCATACAAACAAAAAACAAGCTGGCAGTCATTAGGCCATGCTGAGCTCACAGATAGGTTTTGTGTGACCTTAAGATCAGTTTGAAAAATCAGGAAATCTTACCTAATAATCAGGATTGCCAGTGTCTGTGGGAAAACTGGAAGACCTAGCAATTGTTGGTCTGCATCTCATGTGGCAAAGGGCGGCTGTAACTGAGCAGCAGCTGCTGGCTCTAGGAGAGCCTACTCCCTCTCCTTTTCCCTTGGCTCAGTCCCCACCACCCCTCTGATTGCAGAGCCAGTAGGGTTTCCTTATTTCTATTCTGCCCCCGAAAGCACTTCAGATGGTGACTTAGATATGAAGAGGATAAATAAAATAGTATTTCTCTATTATCCATGAGATGCGAATACTAGGCAGAAAAATTCATTTCCAGGGTCTTCTACTGAATATAAAGATTCAGTAGAGAGAAAGGAAGAAAACTTTAGAAAAATAAATTAAAACAGCGTATCATTAATCCAACTTCACGGAAAGAAAAATGAAATTCTTTGAAGAGAAGTCTGTCTAAAGGTAATTATCTAACACAGCTGGATTCAGCTAATGCCATTTATCCTGACACCTGTTTAATCTTAAAAAATAAATTATTAACAAAACAGAAGGTTTGCTATTTTCAAATTAAGTTAAGCCTTTTAAATCATTACCAAAAAATTCCACGTCCATAGCCCTTTCCACCACTCCCATTTGTAATCCCCTCCCCCCCGTGTCTGAGCATCTGTATTAAAAGAAAAAAAAATCAGTCTAATTTTCTAAGTGAAGTGCTAGATTCTTCACCTTTAAAACATCTCTGAAAAGTCTTAATTCACCCCCCAATTTTTTTTTTTTTTTTTTTTTTTTGAGATGAAGTCTCGCTCTGTCACCCAGGCTGGAGTACAGTGGCGCTATCTCAGCTCACTGCAGCCTCCGACTCCCGGGTTCCAGCGATTCTCCTGCCTAAGTCTCCCAAGTAGCTGGGATTATAGGCACGTGCCACCACACCCAGCTAATTTTTGTATTTTTAGTAGAGATGGGGTTTTACCATATTGGCTAGGCTGGTCTCAAACTCCTGACCTCAGGTTATCCACCCACCTCGGCCTCCTAAGGTGCTAGGATTACAGGCATGAGCCACCACGCCCAGCCTAATTCACCGATTGTATGCATGGGATACAGTCTGTGCACGAGTAACTAGGCTGAGCCAGCATTTGAACACAGGTTTGTTGACTTCAAAGGCCAGACAACTGACTCCTAGGTTCCATGCCCCACAGACGACGGCTGATCAAGATGACAACATCTGTCAGACTCACACAAACCTTTCCTTGATTCTGAACTGAGAATGGCCTATGAAGTCCATATGTGAGATGGGCTTTACAGGATATGTCTTCTTTAGTCTGGCAAATTTATTTAAAAGTCTTAGAACAATTTTTTTCTTTTTAATATTTCAAATGTAATAGAATCACACATTTTAACAGATATGGTCACTTTTGGAGAAAACAATCACACTCATATTAGGTTGGCTAATATTAGACTGTTGCTTAAAATAATAAGCCTTAAAATACTGTTCTCATCTGCATTCTTTCAGCTGTTTAGATGATACCTTCTGTATCCCTAGACTAACAAAGAGCTAAACAGTACTCTCATCACCCCCACTCCCACCCACCCCAGAGGACTCAGATTTACCTTAGAGTTAGGCTCAATATAATTAATAAGGCGGCAATGAGACCAACTGTAGCTTTCCAGGCATCTAGGGAGTATAAATACAGTGTCCCAGCCTCTGGAAAATGTTCCTTATAGAGGTTAAAATACCTCCATGGAAAAGAGAACCCTGGAATTATTTCCTGCTTTCATTTTCCAACTAGTTCATTCAGGCAATAAATGTGCTTTTGAGGTTTTAAAGTTGATATTTCATAACTGCCTCTAGCCGCACAACTCAGATTCTGACGGCATATATCCTAAAGTTAAAACTAGGAATTTTAAGTTCCTGGTGAGAAGACTTAAAACTTGTTTTTATCTTGTTGGTCATGTTCTCAATGTCACTTGAAAACTATTTTGAGGTTTTATCTTTTCTTTCGCACCAAAATTAGAGACACAGAGACAGATGATAACAACGCAAAAAGTTACACAAAAAAGTTTAAAAGTTTGAGGGTTTTTGTTTTTTTGTTTTGAGATGGAGTCTCGCTCTGTCACCCAGGCTGGAGCGCAATGGCATGATCTTGGCTCACTGCAACCTCCACCTCCCAGGTTTAAGCAATTCTCCTGCCTCAGCCTCCCAAGTAACTGGGATTACAGGCACATGCCGCCATGCCCAGCTAATTTTTTTTTTTTTTTTGTATTTTAGTAGAGACAGGGTTTCACCATTTTGCCCAGGCTGGTCTCAAACTCCTGAGCCCAGGCAATCCACCTGCCTTGGCCTCCCAAAGTGCTAGGATTACAGGTGTGAGCCATCGTGTCCGGCCTGAGATGTTTTTATAATGCTGGTGACAGGTAAGATTATTGTCTGTCTTATGGGCTACGTCTAGTCAGGACTTCACTGTAGGAATAAAACGAAATATATGTTTAGAGGCCGAAGGCTGACAAAGTTCTTTCCATTCTTCAGCTCATTTCCATACTAGTAGCTCACTGGCATTCACTTCCAGAGACAGGTAGAATTGGCTCGATTATCTGCATTCCACAGATAAAGAAATTGAGGCTTAGGGACAGCAAGGTCACAGAAGTGATAAGTGATGGAGCCACGACTCAAGCAAGGTCCTCTCCCCCAAGCCAGACATGTGGTTATGCTAAGGAGTTCACATTCAAATCTGTAGTCTCCCTGAATACATTCAACAGTGAGTTGTATGATGAACATTTTGTTTCAATTCAAACCTTCCAAATCAAGCCACTTAGTCAAAACAAATGTAAAACACAAAGTGCTATGGACACGCCTTTGATAACTTAAATGGAAGACAAATACCTGGTAAAATGAAATCCTTTCCACTAATCTTTCCTCTGTTTCTTCCACCAAACTCACAGAGGGCAATGTAGATATAAGAATTTCCAGGTCCTTTTCAAGAGATGCATAGTTTTCATCAAATTCTTCCCATTTCTAGAGAATCAAGGACATAAAATTAGTGGAAGCCCTTTACCAGATTGGTTCCAGATAACAACATAATTAATCACAAAACAAAAATGAACACCAAGACCATACAAAATTAAAGCACAGATTCCAGGTGTGTTCGAGAGACGTAACCCCACCCTGGTAAGCGCTCAGCATCTAATGGAAAAGAATTCCATCACCTTTGAGGACAAGGTTTAAAAAGAATCTGAGTTGGCATTTAGTGTTTTATGCTTGTCTTGTCAAACTGGGTAACATGACTAAAGGAGTAATACAATGAAGTTAAAATGATACTCTTAGCAACTCCGTAGAGACCTTGGAGCCACAAGAGAGCCTTTCTCTTATTAGGAAAGGGAAAGAGCTAACTTTTAGACCCTTACTCAACAGAAGCTATTAGGCTGCTCCTGCTCTCCAAGCCCACGCCCAAGCCCACCAAACCCCCATGCCACTTGCAGCATAGGTCTGCTCAAGGTGTCTTTGAGGAGTATAGGCTTACACTTCATCAGGGGAGGACAACTGCCTTAGCCCTAGTCTTGTCATCTTTTAGCTTGCCCCGTTTCCATGGATGCCCACCCCGAGGACCCCAACACACCACAGAGCTGAGTTATTGACTCCAAACATTGTCTGTTAGGAAAAGAACCACCTCACTCTTTTCCATATCTATTCACATAGTGGCTCACTTGGCTTTTATAGAACACTCACTGGGTCCATGGAGTCTTTTTTAAAAAATACCATGACATATTATAAATATCAACTTGACACACTAACTAGAAAATAAATTTTGTTAGCAAAAAAAATAACACCATATTACACTATCAAGTTAAACATTTCCTTCCTTTTTTCTTTTTTTTTTTGAGACAGAGTCTCGCTCTGTCGCCCAGGCTGGAGTGCAGTGGTGCAATCTAGGCTCACTGCAAGGTCTGCCTCCCGGGTTCACGCCATTCTCCTGCCTCAGCCTCCTGAGTAGCTGGGACTACAGGCGCCCACCACCACGCCCAGCTAATTTTTTTTTTGTATTTTTAGTAGAGACGGGGTTTCACTGTGTTAGCCAGGATGGTCTCGATCTCCTGACCTCGTGATCTGCCCCCCTCCGCCTCCCAAAGTGCTGGGATTACAGGCGTGAGCCACTGCGCCCGGCCTCCTTCCTATTTTATTTCCTTTAAGTACTAACATTGGCTATGAAAGGTGTGAGGGGAATGCCTCAAAACTGAGAAGGAGCTTTATGCATGCTTATTTTTTTCTTTGAGTTTAGACAAGATTGTCATCCATTTTAGGACATCTGGGCCTGTTCTCTTGAAGAAGTACAGTTTTTAAACCAATAACTGTTTCACCCAAATGATCTCATTCAAGGTCTCAAAGTGCTTATCGTTTTGCTTATTCATACATGAACCTAAAAGGCAGAGAGACGCAGTACCATCCCCAATCTATGTATGAGAAATCCCAGCCAACTTTTCCTTCAGGGAGCGGCCTCAGAACCTGAGCAGGGGTCCACATTCCTCACTGTCAGGCTTCCATTTAACTATAGCTTAATGATAACTAGATACTTCTTCTCAACACCTGGGGTGGTGATGGAAAATCAGCAATTCCCAGCTTCAGTACAACGTTTACATAACCCAAATACCTGCAACAAACTCTGCAGCTTCATACCACATTGGCGTGACTTTTCTTCTAGTATTTTAACTTCTGTTACTTGTTCTGCCCAAAATGTCTCTCTGTTTTGCAATAAAGAAGGAAGTATTTTGGCAGAGTATGCTTGGATCAACAACATGTCAGCAACAAGCTTCTGGAAAAAAACCTATGAGATGGAGAAAGTTTTAATATTTACTTTGAAATTGTGAAAACTCTTAAAAACCAAGTTACTTCAACTTTATATCCAGTTATTTTTGTTTTAAATCCAAAATCCCAGGACATCCGTGTAGAGTCAAATTGACCAGCCTGGCCAAGATGGCAATACAAAAATTAGCTAGGCATGGTGGTGAATGCCCGTAATCCCAGTCATTTGAGAGACTGAGGCAGGAGAATCATTTGAACCCGGGAGGCGGAGGTTGCAGTGAGCCGAGATTGTGCCACTGGACTCCAGCCTAGGTGACAGAGCAAGACTCCCTCTCAAAAAGGAAAAAAAAACAAAAAACAAAAAAACTCAGTCTTTGAACACTAGTGGAACTTCAACAAATTATAAAGTATTACCCTTAGGTGTTATTTTCCACTAAATAATCCATTTTAAATGACAAACATTTTTGTCAATTTCAATTTCCAGATAGATCTTTCTAAATCAGTTGTTTTGAGTCTAAATGCTACAAAAAGATAGATGCCAGCTAGGTGTGGTGGCACACATCTATAGTCCCAGCTACTCAGGAGGCTGAAGTGAGAGGATTGTTTGAGACCAGGATCTCGAGGCTACAATGAGCTATGATTACACCACTGCACTCCAGCCTGGAATACAGAGTGAGACCGTGTCTCTTAAAAAAACAAAAACAAAAACAAAAACAAACAAACAAAAAACAGATGTCACTGTGGCTGATGAATTTCAAGACAAGTTGGATGGACAGATGTGCAAACTCAAGCAACCCACATATTCGAAAGACAGGTCTCCTTAACCCTGGCTTTAACTTCTACTCAAGAGAATGACTAAATAAAGGGAATTTGCTGCTTTATAGGAATCCTGGACATAAAGCTTCCTGTATTTGTATTTGAACTTCAAGAACCTTTCAAGAGGAAGGCTTTATTTCACATGGTTCTTCTCCATTTACAGTTGTCTGGAGGGATCCCTCCATATTATGTGAATCCCTTCTCCTAAGCCTTGAAAAGGACATATACATAGAGACGTTTATAAAAGCATCTAGCAAGGGGCCTAGCACACTGCAGATAATCAATATTATTTTCTCCTCTTCCCCTCCATCCTTCATACAATATTTACCTTTCAATTTTTCTTAGACTAAGCTCTACCTTCCAAATGCTAGACCATAAGCTTACCTCAGGTAGGAACCGTCCTACACATTTTTAATTATCAGCACCTAGATTACTCTTTATCTTTAGTTGGTGATCAAGAAGTTTTTGTTTAATGAAATGAATTTTAAAAATCAAAGGATTTACTATAGTCTTATACTACATAATAACACACTTTCCTTTTGATTCTAGTTCTCAGGAAAGCCTTTTCTTCTTTTTTTTTTTTTTTTGAGATAGAGTCTTGCTGTGTCGCCAGGCTGGAGTGCAGGGGCGTGATCTCAGCTTACTGCAACCTCCGCCTCCTGAGTTTAAGCAATTCTCCTGCCTCAGCCTCCCAGGTAGCTGGGATTACAGGTGCCTGCCACCATACCCAGCTAATTTTTGTATTTTTGGTAGAGACAGGGTTTCACCATGTTGGCCAGGCTGGTCTCGAACTCCTGACCTCAGGTGATCCACCCGCCTCAGCCTCCCAAAGTGCTGGGATTACAAGCATAAGCCACTGCGCATGGCCAGGAAAGCCTTTTCTAACTTTCCTAAGTCACCTTCTGCTATTAAATGCTCTCATAGAATGTATCCTCATTTTAATTTTAAATTTGTTTGAAGACTTGTTGATAAATATCTATCTTCTCAATCAGGTGAAAGCTCTGTGAATGTAAGGAACTGTGTCTGTTTTTACTCATAACCCAAATTCCTAGCATGTACCAGGGTTCCTGGTACACATTAAGCATTCTAATAGATGTTTATTAAAAGAATGAATAGCTTAAATTTCAACAAAGAAGAAAAATGGATCCTTTCTGTTCACATTCAGAAATACCTTAAGATTTTAGTCTATGAAGGGGTCACCCGACCCATGTGTCTGTCTCACCTTGTGATTTTCTATTTGAGCCTGTAACGCCACTTTACTTTTGGTTTGTTTTAAGTGGCCATGAGCAAGCTTTTCCTTCCCAATCTTCACCAGTTCCACCATGCCTTGCAACAAAGCATCTTGCTGGCTCTCAGTGACGAAAGGGCTGCTGAGTTCTGTGTACCTGGCTCTTAGCATTCCCCACATACTGTCAAGTACATCCTGAAAAGAGAAGAGCAGGTGCACACATGCATTTTCATCCAACCGGGGCAATAACTGAAAGACAAATCTAAACTCTGCTGGTGGAAGAAAAGGATCTGGCTCCTCACAATCACAGTGCTGAGTCAATGTTTTCTGCTCAGGCATACCTCTAATTTGTAAACCTCCTGGAGTAAAGCATAAGGTAAATGAAGCCTCTCCCCTTCATCTCTTAGTTTGGCCACTCGGCTCTCGGCGTTCTCCAGCTCCACTGTATATGCATCTGCTTTCTAAGTGAGAGACAATACAAGAAAAGAAAACCCTTCAGTAAGTCAGAGAAGTACACATAGTTATCTAAAAAGAATTAAATAGTACAGAAAGGGATGAAGGGAAAAGCAAAAATCCCAGCTCCCGCTCCCTCACCTCCTGCTCTCCTTAACAATCTTGCCAGAGGTCCCAAGTTCCTAACATGCTCCATACCAGTAGGGGTAGACATGCATATCCCTAAACTCAATGAACTGCACCACAGCATTCTGTCCTGCGGTTAGCATTCCTCACTCACCAGCTCTTCAGCATCTCTTCACATTGGTATACACATATCTAGCTCCTTCGAAACAGACACACAGCATGCTATTGTAAGGGTGTACCCTGCTTTTGTTATCAGTCAGCTCTCAATGGACTTTTGGGCTATATACAGTTTTTAATTCAAGCAGAGCTGCTGGGTCCATCCTTAAATATTTATGACTTATTTATTTATTTATTTAGAGACAAAAGTCTGGCTCTGTCACCCAAGCTGGAGTGCAGTGGCACAATCTCAGTTCACTGCAACCTCCGCCCCCCAAGCTCAAGCAATTATCACACCTCAGCCTCCGGAGTAGGTGGGACTACAGCCGTGTGCCACTGCACCTGGCTAATTTTTGTATTTTCGATAGAGATGGGGTTTGCCATGCTGGCCAGGCTGGTCTTAAATTCCTGGCTTCAAGTGATCCACCTGCCTCAGTCTCCCAAGGTGCTGGGATTACAGGCGTGAGCCACCAACCTGGCCAAAATATTTATCTTTATGCACTTGTCTTATATCCTTAGGAGGAGTACAAGTTCAGCACTTCAAACAGTGCTGGAACATAGTGGATCCTCAATTAATATTTGCTAAATACATGAAGTCAAATTATTGCTGGAAGAGAGAGTATTCATGTTTAAAATTCTGATATACAGACAAAGGATCCCCAGGGCTCCCCTGGCAAGAGGATGAGGGTCTCATTTTCCAATACCCTTACCAACACTGGACATACACATTTTGTCATGGTTGATAAGTGAAAATGGCCTCCTTTTGTTTTAATACATTGTGCTTCAGAAAATTAGGAGATGTTTTTAAAAAGTCAACATAAATAGTTCTCATTTTTTATTTATTTACTTAAGCCTTGCTGCTGCTCACAAAGGAAAGTAGTTCAGAAGCACGGCTTATATGCAAAGCTCTGTGGTTCAAAGTTAAGTCAGTCTGAATTATTTTGACTTGATTACCTGAAGCTGTTCAGCAACACTCTGCCCACTGATTTCATTCAAAGACTGTTGTAAAGATGTCTTACTCTTAATGAGCTGATGATATAATCTCTTTATTTCATTCTGTAAGATAAATGTCGGAAACTGAGCAATCTCATTTAGGCCTTCATTATCTTTTTTTATATTTAGTTGGTTTTTATAATTTTTGTGACACTAGAAATTTCAAACAAATACAAAAATAGAGAAATCCCCATTTTATCATCATTAAACTTCAACAATTATTGATTCATGGCTGACCTTCTTCCCTCTACATCCTCCCTCCAGCTCTCAACTGTACCTAATCTCCTTTCCTTCAGGCTATTTTGAAGCAAATCCCAGGTCTCAAGTCATTTCATCAGTATACGTTTCAGTATATATTTCTAAAAGATAAAGATCCTTCTCTTTACTCCAACATACTCCTCCCCTGCCATCAATAATAATTCCTTAATATGATTTAACTATCCAGACAGAATTCACATATCCCTAATTGCCTATAATTTTTCTTTTTGATTTGTTTCAATGATGATCCAAATGAGGTCCACATGTCATGATGGATAAATACATCTTAGATCTCTCTTAACCTGCAGAATCCCTGACCACTTTTTTTGTTTCTTGAATGTGTGTATGTGAAAAAATGGGTCATTTGTTCAGTACAGTTTCCCACAGGCTGGATTTGGCAGACTGCACTCCCAGTGTGCTGTTTAACCTGTTCTTCTTTTCTTGTGTCTGTTTTACTTGGATTCTAGCAGCTTGGTCAGATTCAGGCTTGATTTTTATGGGCAAGCCTCATTCATAAATAGTATTGGGTTTCATTTCTTTTTCATTAGATAATTTTAGTAGCTTCCTAACTCTTCTACCTGCCTGGAGTCTCTGCCTCTCCAATTCACTTTAGACAACTGCTGGAGGAATCTACCTGAAACATACACGGATTGTCATTCCTTAGCTCAAAAACCTTAATGGCTCCCTCTAGCTAGAAAAACAAAAACAAATGCCTCCCCCGCCCCACCATTTTAATTGTTAAATGGCTAAATGTAATACAAGAAATGAAACATTATTTTAGCTCATCCTAACAAATTCTTACTCAAGACTCTACTTTTTTTATTTTTTATTTTTTTACTTTTTTCTTTTTTTGAGATGGGATCTATGTTGCCCAGGCTGGTCTTGAACTCCTGGGCTCAAGCAATCCACCTACCTAGGCCTCCCAAAGTGCTGGGATTACAGGCATGAGCTACTACGCTCGGTCAAGACTTTAAAGGGCTTCACCTTTTTTTTTTTGAGATGGAGTCTTGCTCTGCCGCTCAGGCTGGAGTGCAGTCGTGTGATCTCAGCTCACTGCAACTTCTGCCTCCCAGGTTCAAGCAATTCTCCTGCCTCAGCCTCCCAGGTAGCTGGGATTACAGGCACACACCACCATGTCCGGCTAATTTTTGTATTTTTAGTAGAGATGGGGTTTCACCATGTTGGCCAGGATGGTCTCAATCTCCTGACCTCAGGTGATCCGCCTGCCTTGGCCTCTCCCAAAGTGCTAGGATTACAGGCGTGAGCCACTGCACTCGGCCAGGGCTTCACTTTCAAATGATCTCCAACCATGAGCAACAAACAGAAGAGTCTCATCATTTCCCTTAGCAATTCTTATTAACAAATGTCACCAGGAATAGGAATAGGCATTAGGGGTTCATGCTGTAACTTAAAACAGTGCCAAAATAGGCTGTGTGCTCGGAATCATACCTGGTAACTGCGGTTGTAATCGAGGCCAGCTTTCAGGGACTTGCTTCTACAGACAGCTGCAGCCTGAGTGTGCTCCAGGCAGACTTGAAGGTTGTCAAAACATTCAAGGAGCAAGTTGGTGTTCTCGCCAGGCCAAGTCATGGCTTTCAAAAGATCACCCTTCTTGTCACTTAGCGCTAAATAAAGTTTCTTCAACTCAAGAGCCAGCGTCTGGAGTGGAGAGGAAGGAAGACAATGAATGAGCTCTGACCTCAAGAGGCTTCCACGTGGGCTTAACTCACGGGGCTGCTGTAATGGCCAACACATGGGCTCGTGAGAAGTGCCCTACCTCGTAGTGCACCTGCTGGCCAGAACCATCCTCCCTGTAAAGTCTGGGCATCTCCAGCATCTCCTCCACACTGCTGAGGCACTGACTGAGGGTCAGGAATAGTTCAAACAATTTTTTATCCAAATTGATATATGCTTCTTCTGTCATATTTTCCTGAATCAAGAGGAAAAAAGAAAAAGAAAATTAAGATACCTTTGCCTTCCTAGACCTATATTTTGCCTAGTTTCCATTATAGTTTATGATTTATGTTATGCTTCTTTTGTAATAAGTTGCTTCAAACGCTTTGTGAACTAGGTAGCAGAACAAATAAATAAACTTACGATGTTAAACTTGGAGAAAAATGAGTTTAAGAAGCTCAACGTTAGGTAGTTATTTGAGTACTGCATGGAACTAAAAGGTAAATCATGAGATGAAGGATCCCTTAGCAGGGCGATCCAGGTGAAAGTGTGGTCCCAGATAAATTACACTGTCTCCTTTACCACTGTTTCCCACCCTCCACATTCTAATGTAGGAGAAAGCGGTTAATGAAATCAAGTATAGCTGGGAGAAGGAAAAGAAGTCACAAAAGAGAAGCTTGAAGGGGTTGATTACAAAGAGGAGGTACAGTGTCTTAAAAACAGGAGCAGGCTGCAGAGGAGGGGGAAAGTGTCATTTATGAGCCGATTGTGAGAATCAAGGCTTAGGTGTATGACTCCAAGCACGTCCCCAGTGTCATGCATTGCGCCTGGTGAGTCTGGGAGCCACAGATCTGTTTTAGCATAAGCTGCTGGGGCCACCTCTTTTTCTTTACCCACAGTTACCCTGAATTCTTGAACAGTTATAAGTAGTTTAGGAGCATGCCATAGCTAGTCATCACTCCAACTTGGGCCCTGTCTCCTACTATCTTCTCTGATAGACACCTCACATAACCTAGCATTAATTACCTCAGTATTAAGTCTGCTCAGGGTTGAAAACCATGCCTATACTCCCTCCCTACTCTCCTCTTCACCCTTCCAATCCCAGATCACCACTGCAGACGGCACTCATCAATCATGATCCTCTTTCCTGCTGATCCTGGACTCAGAATCCTTTGCACACAGTCCCTAGGGAACCACTACAAAATATATTAGAGTTGGCAAGCAAGATCAATTCAATTTGCAATCCTAGGACCCATTCCATTATGTGTTCCATGACTTGTTCAGTGACGACAATTATGACCAAGTCACAATGATGATATCTCCTTTGTTTATGTTATTACAATGAGGAAAACACATTGTGTGCAGCTTCTACCTGTGTCTGAAGGTTACTTGCTTCTTGGCGCAGGTCTTCAAGTTGGGTGGTATAGGTTTTCAGTTCTTCAGTTGTTGGGTATCTAAAGTTATACATAGTCACGCTGGGTAGAATACCCATATTTGTGGAAACCTATTTGACAAAGGAAAACCCTATTACTGACAGTTTTAGACCCTGCTGATGTTAATTAATTTATTTTTTTATTTTCGAGATGGAGTCTTGCTCTGTCGCCCAGGCTGGAGTGCAGTGGCATGATCTCCTCTCACTGAAACCTCTGTCTCCCATGTTCAAGAGATTCTCCTACCTCAGCCTCCCGAGTAGCTGGGATAACAGGTGCCTGCCACCATGCCCGGCTAATTTTTGTATTTTTAGTAGCGACGGGGCTTTGCCATGTTAGCTAGGCTATTCTTGAACTCGTGACCTCAGGTGATCCACCTGCCTCAGCCTCCCAAAGTGCTGGGATTACAGGCATGAGCCAACATGTCCAGCCTGCTGATATTAATTTAAATAGAAAAAGATGCCTTAGCATGCTGTCTTCTGAGCCACTTTCTTGGTGAACATTTTTGTCTATCTTGCCATTTATAAGAAAAAACAATTAAGTTTTAATATTTTGGACAGCTTTGAAAAGTCATGACTAGTTATATTTAGATACTTGAGGTTTCATTTAGATATCAAAATGAGAGGAAAGGCTGGGCTTAGTGGCTTATGCCTATAATCCTAGTACTTTGCAAGTAGAGGTGGGAGGATTCCTAGAGGCCAGGAGTGCAAGGGAGTTCAAGACCAGCCTGTACAACATAACAAGATACATTCTCTGCAAAAAAAAAAAAAAAAAATTATACAAAAATTTTTAAAGTAGCTGGTCATGGTGCTGCACACCTGTAGTCCTAGCTACTCGGAAGGCTGAGGCAGGAGATCGTTTGAGCCCAGGAGTTCAAAGCTATAATGAGTTTTGGTCATGCCACTGCACTCCACCCTGGGTAACAGCGAGAACCCGTCTCTTTTTTTGAGACGGAGTCTCGCTGTTGTCACCAGGGCTGGAGTGCAATGGCACAATCTCAGCTCACTGCAACCTCTGCCACCTGGGTTCCAGCAATTTTCCTGCCTCAGCCTCCCAAGTAGCTGAGATTACAGGTGCCCACCACCACGGCCAGCTAATTTTCGTATTTTTAGTAGAGATGGGGTTTCACCATGTTGACTAGGCTGGTCTTGAACTCCTGACCTCAGGTGATCCACACGCCTCAGGCTCCTGAAGTGCTGGGATTATAGGCGTGAGCCACTGCACCTAGCTGAGACCCTGTCTCTTAAAAAAAAAAAAAAAAGGTGGTGTGTGTGTGTGTGTGTGAAATCATTAATCTTTCAGTTTAGTAATAACAACATTCACGCTACAGGGCTAGCTGCTTATTTACCAGTTTACTTTTGACACAGCCAACTATTAGAATAGAATTCAAGTCTCTTCTAAGGGATGGGTTTGCATCTTGATTTGTTATTGAAAAGCTAAATAAGTACTGAAAATGAGCTGTGATTTCAGAAGGGTGAATGATTCAGAATTAGCTCCTTTCTCAAACTGGAAAGCTGACAAATAAAATGAAACAGGGTGAGGTGGTAGATGACTCTGCTTGGGGAAAGAACTAATAATGAGTGGAGTTCTCCTGTTTGCAAGAGACCTATGTACACGTTACAGTGTAATATGGAGAAACCAAGGTTAAGGGCCAACTGATGAGTTTGATTGAACTTTAATTGGTCAAATAAGGTCCTTAGCGGGAAAGAGGACAGCTGAGAAGTCCTATCAGACTGGGAAATTGGGAAATCACGGGTAACCTTTGCCCAGGCAATGTGAGTATGTGGTGGAAGGCAGAAGCCTGCCTTGTGCGCAGTGGGGCTGTTTTGCTCACCTGCTCCCTGTCTGGAGAGAGACAGTAGTGACTGACACAGCAAGCCAGCCTGATAGAGCCTGTGACGGCAGTGATAAGGAGGGCCAATCACAGGGAACACCGATTGGCCAGTGCCATCGGCACAGGCGTTGGCACATGGTAGATTCCAAAGAATTTTCTGATGAATGAATGACACTCATTGTAGCGCTGTATAGTTTTTAAAGTGTTTTTTTTTTTTTTGAGACGCAGTTTCACTCTCGTTGCCCTGGCTGGAGTGCAATGGCGCGATCTCAGCTCACCATAACCTCCGCCTCCCAGGTTCAAGCAATTCTCCTGCCTCAGCCTCCTGAGTAGCTGGGATTACAGGCATGCACCACCACGGCCAGCTAATTTTGTATTTTTAGTAGAGACAGGGTTTCTCCATGTTGAGGCTGGTCTTGAACTCCTGACCTCAGGTGATCCACCTGCCTCAGCCTCCCAAAGTGCTGGGATTACAGGCGTGAGCCACCGCGCCTGGCCAAGTGTTTCTTAAAATACATATTCATTCCTTTATTCATTCAACAAACAGTAACTGAGAGTCTGTGATGTCCTAGGTACGGTGCTTGGCACTCAAATGCAAACCAGGCAGACATGATCTGTCTTTCTTCCCCATCTAATGGGGAATACAGACTATAAACAAACAGGCGGATAGTTGTTATAAATAACAGCTCTGATGAGGGAAGCCCTGGGTGCTACAGAAGCACAAAGGAAGGGTTCCTAATGCAGGTTTCCAAGATCAAGAAAATGTATCAGCCAAGTAAAAAACTCACTTGGCAACTTTGCTTTCTGGAGAATATACATGTTTATTTAATGAATGCTTGTTGGATTTTCAAAGATAAACAGGCTATTTGCACCATGTAGATACAGACTGACCTGAGGCTCCACAAGCTGAGGGAGTGGGAGCTTTATTTTTGATGAGAGTTCATGATGCAGATATTGCCACTTATCTCCATTTTGGCCCTGGGGTGACAAGATCGAGTCTGGAACGTCATTTTCAGGGCTGGATGCCTGGTTGCTTTTGAAGAAGAACAAAAGGTGAAGAGAATAATCAACACTAAACATTTTGTATTACATTCACAGTTCTATGAGCAATTTTTAAAAGAAACACTCTTAATTCTCCCAGTCATAAAACCACTGAATGACCAACTCTATTTTTAAATGTTTTACCTTGCAGATGATTCCTGAGTTGTATCGTTATCATGTTGGCAATACTGGGGCCACATTTTCTTAGCATTAAATTCTATGAATTTGATGAAATCTTTCTGTTCCATTGGTTTTAACTCCAGAACCTGTAATTGAATGAGATTCAAATGGTCCAATCCATCAAGCTTTTCGATTAGTACCCACTAGTTTCCTCTGCTGAGATAAATCTAATTTTGAGCCAGTTCCTAAATCATTAATTACTATTTCTCTTTCTTGCATTCCTGTTCTTGTAAACTCTCACTTCCCAAAAACCTATTTAAAATATTCACACAATAACTGTTATTTAAACCGCATACATGGAAAATCATCAAAGACATACAAACACATTTTGAAAAGACAGGCAAAGCAGAGTCGCAACTACAGAAGTTCACCCTGAAGACAGCTGATATAAGATGTAAGTTAATAAAGGAGCAAAGTTATGGTGTCCCCAGTGTTAGCAGCTGAAAGCAAAGCAGATGCTATGGTAAATGCTGAAAACTCTCAGAGTTTCTGCACACACACAAACACCCACATGCCACACTTTGCAGAAATTCCATATAGAAAGCTTTTTTTTGTTTGTTTGTTTTTGTTTTTGGAGACATGGTCTCACGCTATCACCCCAGGTTAGAGTAGAGTGGTGTGATCTTAGCTCGCTGCAACCTCTGCCTCCTGGATTCAAGTGATTCTTGTGCCTCAGCCTCCTGAGTAGCTGGGATTACAGGCTTGCACCACCATGCCTGGCTCATTTTTTTGTATTTTTAGTAGAGCTAGGGTTTCACCATGTTGTCCAGGCTGGTTTCGAACTCCTGACCTCAAATGATCTGCCTGCCTCAGCCTCCCAAAGTGCTGGGATTACAGGCATGAGCTACTGTGCCTGGCCTTTTTTTTGGTTTTTGAAACAGGGTCTCGCTATGTTGCCCAGGCTGGCCTCGAACACCTGGCCACAGGTGATCCTCCCACCTCAGCCTCCCAAGTAGCTAGGACTGTAGGTTTGCACCACCTTGCCTGGTTAAAAAGTTATATTCTAGTCCCTACAACTGTTGGGGGCTAGAATTACCTGTTGCTGCTGGAAATCTTTTTGTCTGCTGAATTGTGGCCTTTCAGTTACAATGGATTCCAATTCAGAAAGGTTAACTGGTTGGAGAGCTTCTTGATGCTCTGGCTCTGAGGATTTCTTTAGAATGGTAGGATGCTGCAAAACATTTCATAATGGCAGGCTATTTATTTTTAAAAATAAACTCCACTTTATCTCAATTCTAATAATGGGACTACATAGAAAAATTTTACATGAAATAAATGATGGTATTTTGTTATTTGCTATAATTATATACTATAATTTTTTGTTTTTGTTTTTTGAGATGGAGTTTCGCACTTGTTGCCCAGGCTGGAGTGCAAGGGCATGATCTTGGCTCACTGCAACCTCCACCTCTTGGGTTCAAGGGATTCTCCTGCCTCAGCCCCCCAAGTAGCTGTGATTGCAGTTGTGCCCACCACACCCAGCTAATTTTTGTATTTTTAGTGGAGACGGGGTTTCACCATGTTGGCCAGACTGGTCTCAAACTCCTGACCTCAGGTGATCTGCCTGCCTCAGCCTCCCAAAGGGCTGGGATTACAGGCGTGAGCCACCACACCCAGCCTACTATGATTTAATGTACCTATTTCATAACAACTTCAAAAACTACTACATTTGGTGAAGTGATCATCTTACTTCTTCAAGCTAATTCATCCAATGAATTACTAAAAGCAAGAAAATGTATTGCCTTTTTTCTTAAAAACAAATACCAAATAAAAAAGTACCAAAAAGAGAAACAGTATTATAAATTCAAATTTCCCCTATGGCTAAAATACATTTTTTTTAAAAAGAGAGAACATATTAGGATGAAAGGGGAACCATATGGCCTATGTATCTGCAGCCAGTCTTATTTCTGTGAACATAAATCTCTAAGTAGGAACCACTCATAAGCACATGCAAATCTTTTATAGTAAGATCTACTCATAAGATGCACATTTGCATTTATAAACACAGAGTGCTTTTAAAAATCATGAGAACACTTTATATGATACTTTGATTATATATATAAATACTTGCAAATGAATAACAAAGTATCCTGGAAACAGGTTTATGTTTCTGATGTCAAATTTTAGTCACATCTATGAAAGCTTTGTTTTCCAGTCAATTAGAGTCACAAAATTCCTTTATAATACATCCTTCTTTTACGAAGAAGCCTTACACTAGACCTCACTGCCAACAAGAACACTCAGCTACATTAAACCAACACAAACCAAACCACCGCCATCACCAACAACAACCTAGACAGGAAAACTGCAAAGTAGAATGAAATAAAAATAACAAGCCAGTGTACTCATCTATGGTGTTAATGTGTGAAATTCTTTCACACTTAGTACAGTTTCTCTGTAGCTGGTTCATCACTTCCAACCAGAGTTCTCTTCTGGCAGGTCTGCCACATATGTGTATCAAGATGAATGTCCATAGATAGTCATTTTTTACCTGATCTTCACTGTGCTTCTCCTGAAGCATCATCTGGACTTTTTCTAAATTGCACTTCACTGTTTTCAGTTTCAGGGAAAGCGCTTCAGCCTCATGTTGAGTGGCTCCATTATCTCCCAGGCCCTGATCTTTGCAAGTCTCTAACAGAAAGGCAACCTTGTGCTCAATCTCTGTTAGCATAGCCTAGGAAATAAAAGCATTTAATTATTCATAATGTTGTTCTTGAAGAAGTATTGTGCCTGCAAACAAGTTAAGACTTACTCTTTTTACTTAAGTGTATACAAGAAGTCCCAGAAACACAGGATGGAAGAAACCCTGGAAAAACAAAAACTTCCACAGAATTCTTGTACTTTTCAGTAGGGATGCAACCAAACCAATCCCAATTACACATGTCACTCTGTAAAATAATTTAAGTAAATGACTCTATAGTCGCCTTACAAAACATAGCAGAATGTATCCAGCAGAGGATAGTGGTTAAGAACACAGATCTTGGAACTAGACTATCTGGTTTCAGATCCCAGTCCTACCACTTAGTAGATGTGTAAACACAGGCACCTTACTTTAGAGGAGTGTGCCTCTAGTAGTCTGTAAAATGAAGATAATAACCGAACTCACCTCCTAAGGTCATTATCAGGAGTGAATGAATTAAATCCATGTACTTTGGCCAGTGCTTGATACATCTGTGCTTAAAAAGTGCAGATATTCTTATTTTCCCCCTACCTTCCTAATCTTTTTTTTTTTTTTTTTCTGAGACGGAGTCTCACTCTGTTGCCCAGGATAGAGTGCAGTGGTGTGATCTCGGCTCACTGCAACCTCCACCTCCCAGGTTCAAGTAATTCTCCTGCCTCAGCCTCCCGAGTAGCTGGGATTACAAGAGTGCGCCACCACGCCCAGCTAATTTTTGTATTTTTAGTAGAGATGGCGTTTCGCCATTTTGGCCAGGCTGGTCTCAAACTCCTGACCTCGTGATCTGCCCACCTAGGCCTCCCAAAGTGCTGGGATTACAGGCATGAACCACCATGCCTCGCCTACCTTCCTAATCTTTTATGTTGCAATCCAAGTGTGGAGTAGGAATTTAAAAAAGAATTCCACGTAACTGTTTGAAAATTATTTCCCTTGCTCTTTTCCTTCTCTTTCTCAAGACAAATAAGCCTCCAAACTCTCACAACACCATAGAAGAAATAATTTGGAACCTGAAATATTTAGTTATTGATACAACCGGCCAATTCACACAAATCTAAAAATATATCAGCTGGATGAAGTAAGTTTCCCAGTAAGTCTCGGTCATTGTATTCCTGCTCAACAGATCAAGTTTGCCCTCTCCTGGGGCTCAGCAGCCTGCTCGGTCATGCCAGCTGGCTGGGCACTCACGTCAGCAGCAACAGACAAACTCACATTCCAGCACCATGATCATTTGTACTAAAACTCGGTGCGTGACTAAGAACAAGTTCCATTCATTGAGCGAATTTAAGGAATTAAAAATTTTCCTTAAGGACGAACTCTATTCTTAAAACAAAATTGCAAATAATTTATCCTATAACTCCTTCATCCAAGCAAGCTGTAACAGGCCCCTTTATCTATGCTTTTACTTTCTGTGGTTTCAGTTACCTGCAGTCAATCAGGGCTCAAAAATATTAAATGGAAAATTCCAGAAATAAATAATTCATACATTTTAAATTTTGCACCACCTGAGTAGCGTGATAAAATTGCACACCATCCTGCTCCATCCCGCCCAGGATGTGAATCATCCCTTTGTCCAGCATATTCATACTCCAGCACTCGGCTCATTAGTTACTTAGTAGAGGTTGAGTATACCTAATCTGAAAATCCAAAATCCCAAAATGCTCCAAAACCTGAAACTTTTTATGCACCATGCCAGAAGTGGAAAATTCCACACCCAACCTCATGTGATGGGTCACAGTTGAACTCTGTTTCATGTATAAAATTATTAAAGTTATTATATAAAATAACCTTCAGGATATGTATATGAGGTATAGATAAAACATAAATTGAGGCCTAGCATGGTGGCTCATACCTGTAATCCCAGCACTTCGGGAGGCTGAGGCAGGAGGCTCACTTGAGGCCAGGAGTTTGAGACCAGCCTGGGCAACACAGTGAGACCCTGAGTCTACAAAAAATAAAATTAGCCAGGCATGGTGGTGTACGCCTGTAGTCCCAGCTATTCCGGAGACTGGGGCAGGAGGATTGCCTGAGCCCGTCAGGTCAAGGCTGCAGTGAGCCATGATCATGCTACTGCACTCCAGCCTGGGTAACAGAGCAAGACCCTGTTAACTCTAATATAAATAAAGAAATTAATTAATTAATTTAGTGTTTAGACTTGGGTCCTCTCTCTAAGATATCTCATTATGTATTTGCAAATATTCCAAAATCCCTCCCAAAAAACCAAATGCAAAATACTTCTAGTTCCAAGCATTTGGGGATAAGGGATACTCACTCTGTAGCCATCTCAGTTGTCAGATCGAAAAAACATAATACACACAGAGTTTGGTACTATCCACGGTTTCAGGCATCCATTGGGGGTCTTGTAACACAACCCCCACAGACAAAGGTGGGACTACTCTACTTATGTCCTCTATAGATTCTTCTAAGTTTAAACAATATGTACCCATAGACTGTACAGTGGCTATAAACAAAATGTAGCATAATTTTATGCTCTGTTTTTCCCACTTAACTATTACATACTTTTTCATCTGTCTCCACACGTTTCATGATTTTCATTTTAACAGCTACAAGTTGATATCCCATGATTCACTTACCAATTTCCCTCTTGTTACCCCTTTGTTTCTAGTTCTTCACTTTTGTAATCAATGCTTCTATAATTATTTTTCTCATTTGGGATTATTTTCAGAAGGTAAATTAAAAGTAATGGTACTGGCCGGGCACGGTGGCTCATGCCTGTAATCTCGGCACTTTGGGAGGCCAAGGCAGGTGGATCACCTGAGGTCAGGAGTTCGAGATCACCCTGGCCAACATGGGGAAACCGTTTCTACTAAAAATACAAAAATTAGCCAGATGCTGTGGTGCATGCCTGTAATCCCAGCTACTTGGGAGGCTGAGGCAGGAGAATCACTTGAACCCAGGAGGCAGAAGTTGCAGTGTGCCGAGACTGTGCCACTGCACTCCAGCCTGGGTGAGAGCGAGACTTCACCTCAAAAAAAAAGTAATGGTACTTTTAACTCAAAGAAGATGAACAGCTTATATGTTGACAACTGACCTCCCAAAACATTGAGCCAATTAGATAGAACTACCAGACATTAGAGTATCTATTTTTCCAGAATGATATTTTTTTAATGTAATGTGACAGCTGTTTTAATTTATGTCTTTAATAATCAAAATTAAACAATTCTCAAATATTACATTACTAAGCATAATCCTCCCTCCCTCCCTCCCTCCCTTCTTTCCTTTCTCTTTCTTTTTTTTGACAGTGTCTTACTCTCTTGCCCAGGCTGGAATGCAGTGGTGCAATCATAGCTCACTGCAGCCTTGAATTCTTGGGCTTAAGAGATATTAGTGCCTCAGCCTCCCAGGTAGCTGGGACTACAGATACACACCACCATGCCCAGCTAGTTTATTTTTTAATTTTTTTTTAAATTATTTTGTAGAGACAAGGTGTAACTATGTTGCCCAGGCTGGTCTCAAACTCCTGGCCTCAAGCAATCCACCCGCCTTGGCCTCCCAAAGTGCTGGGATTACAGGCGTGAGCCACCACTCCTGGTCCATAATCTTCACTGAACTGTTTGCTCCTGTCCTTTGGCCATTTTTCCACTGGAATTTTGTGTTTTTACAGACCACTTTAAGGTTTTTATATGTTTCAATAATAACTTTATTGTGTTATGTTATATAAATGAGCCAAAGATGCCTTTGTATGTTGGCCCCATGTGGTTTTTCTTCAAAGCAGGTCAGAAGCAGTAAGTTCAAAAAGTGCCAGCACCAGACTCAAATTTTTACACATTTGACGGCTTTAAATGCAGCCCAAATAAGCATATTTTAATCCATTTAGAGCCTGTCTGCTTTGCATACCCCTGAAAACTGCACCCAACATCTGCCAGCCACGGATAAGACTAACCCTGGGCTATAAAAAAATCCCAAGCCTCTGCTGCCCTTCGGCGCTCTCTGACCCAGAGACCCTCCACTGTGCTGAGACATCGCTAGACACATAAGTTCCCTCTCCGTTTCTCCTCTCCCCTGGGAGTTCCCTTGCCTTCCTCCCCCTCTGGGTGGTGGCCTGACCCCCAGTCTATGCCTTAGCCTCTGGAAGGTCTCCTGCAGTAAAGAGCTTCCCTGTCTCTCACGATCATAATCTTGCCAAAATGCTGCCCAAATAAAGCTTGTTGGGTGCAACTGCCACCTGGTAGTCATGTCTTTTCCTTGAGCAGCCTGGAAATCCTTGAACTCACTACAAGTGGCAATGAAGATGGGATTCTGGTGATAATCAACGAGTTGGCATAGGGTCTACCCAGTCAGTAGATAATCAGTTGGCAAATCAATCCTGAATGGCCTTAAGTGGGTGGGACTCAAAATCTGGACTGCCTCGAGTTGAGTTTAGCATAGCATTGCTCTGTGCTGTATGACGCTCTATGGCATTCACAGGCTCCCCTGGGCCTCATCAGCCAGGCCAAGCGGCAGTGCCAGTATCTGAGTGAACCTATCCCTTTAGAACTGACTTTTGGGCTGGGCATGATAGCTCACGCCTGTAATCCAGCACTTTGGGAGGCTGACTTGGGTGGATCGCTTGAGCCCAGGAGTTCGAGACCAGCCTGGGCAATATAGTGAGACCTCTCATCTCTACAAAAAAATACAAAAAGTAGCCGGGTGTGGTGGTGCAGGGCTGTAGTCCCAGCTACCCAGGAAGCTGAGGTGGGAGGATCACCTGAGCCCAGGAAGTCGAGGCTGCAATGAGCTATGATTGCTCCACTGCACTCCAGCTTGGGTGACAGGGTGAGACCCCGAAAAAAAAAAAAAAGAACTGACTTTTGAGATCAGAGGTGCCGAGATGCACAGAAAAGGAGGCTGGCCTGTCTGTCTGGTTCCTGGATGTTGTTAAGACTATGGGCTTACATAGAAGGGGAGAATGCACAACTGTGGATCAAAGGCAGGCTTCCCACAACAACATAACAGGCTACAGCAGGAAACGCTCCCTGTGGCAGGGCTAGTGATATGCGAACTCTGAGACAAGAGGATGTCTTCATCCTGGCAGACAAGCCCATATGATAAAGACAAGTCTGGTCTCCTAAGTGCAGCTGGGAGAGAGGCCTTTGCAAGCAGCTCGCGTGCCCCTGCTCTTGTGACACTCGATTATGCTGTTGCAATGTCATCATTCTAGCCTCTCCCTGGAGGGATTAGAAACCCCAACCTTCGGGCTGAGCCGGCAAGCTTTACTCAGAGCGACTAGCGGCAAGGAAGTTTATATCCCTGCCCCTCCCAAGCAAAACCCAGGGCATTCCTAGTAAAATGGTTGCAAAGCCCTTTTATGCTGTATCTTCAATTTTGCAAATTAATACTTTTGGTTTCATTTATGATGAATGAATATTCTAATTACTTACTAAAATTGAATAAAATAATAGCATTTACTGAGCACTTGTTATATACTTTATATACCTATTTAATCCTGACAAAAATCCTATGAGATAACTTTATATCCTATGACACTGCTTTAAATACCTTATTTAAATCCTGCGACACTACTTTAAATACCTTATTTAATCCTGACAAAAATCCTATAAGATAACCTACTATATAAGGAAAATGAGGCTGAGAAGTTCACTTCCCGAAGTTCACAGCTAATGTGACAGAGCTGGATTTAGACTCCTAGATTCTGAACACTACTGTCCCCTCAAATAAGATAGTTCCATAAAGCATTTCAAAGAATTACCCTGAGAACTAAAAGCTGAGGCCAAGATAAATGTAAGGGTCAGAGTAACAGAAAGAAAAACAGTGTTGCTTTAAGAGAAATTCACCCAATCTTGGCAGATGATTGGTGGAGAGGCAAACCATGAACTCTGACTTCTCAGTCTTACCTGGCACCCTACCAGCTGCTGTTCCAGCACCTGCTGCATGTCTGCGTTTAATGTTTCCGGCTCAACTGCCACGTTGGCTTGTTGCAGCCACAGCTCCAGCTCGGCCACCTGGGTCTTGCAGGCATGCAGGACTTCTGTGGGCTCCGGCCTAGTTTTCTCCACCCTGGGCTCCAAACCTCCTTGCGCGTCAGAAGAGTCCAGAGTGTCAGCCTCAATAGGAGGTGTGGTGCCCTAAGAGAAATCCAAAGATAAGCCAGGGAGTCCAAAGTTTTCAGACTTGGGCCTGCAAAGACCTGGGAACCTGCAACATTTCCCCAGTTAAAAGAAACAAAATCAGGACAGAAGAAGGAAGAAAGAAAAGAGAAATGCACCTCCACACTCATAGCAACAATCACGTGACCTGGTGCCACAGGTTTCCAAGCAGCCGATCTGCGAGTAAGCAGGTACAGTATTCCCGGGCACAGAGGACGCAAACAGGCTCACAGTTCACTACCCGGTGAGCCCCAGGAGACAGGTGAGAATGTGAGTGACAGGGTGTGTGTGTGTCCGAAACATTTAAGGGAATTGGCCAGTGTTTAGCGTTACGTGACACATGATTAAGCAATGCTTACATTGCTGCACACTCTATTCCAACAGAAAAACAAAACAAAACAGAACACGATCTTTACCTCCCAGCAGGGATACAATAAAATATACCACATAATTTTAACTTGACATCTTCTCAAATAGTTAGATTATAAAAATTTTAGCTTTTTAAAAACATACATGGTATTACTTATCTAAATTTTTCCCTAATAAAAACAGCTTGAGTCAAGTAATGAACTTCAGTGGGGTAACCTGGAAACTTTTTTCCTATTCCTCAGAAGGAATCCCTAAAATACCTTCCTTCCCCTTCTGCATACTCGAATATGATTGAGTTAAGGACTAGATGCTCACAGTATAAAGAAAGTGTGGTGTGTTCTTTTTACATTGAAATAACTGGGTTGTTTATCAACTGATTGGAAAATTTTCTCCCAGATACCAAATGAAAGTATTCCAGTAATTATATATTAGATATGTTCAACCTGGAGGCAAAAGATAATTGGATAGAGAGATGTATTTACCTCCCACTGTATTATCTATCCTTCCTCAGAATATGGAAAAAGTAGTATCGATACTTCTAGAGAAATTCCTTTAGGAATAAGGATTTGTGTTTTGCTGTATAAACCTTTTGCTCTCAAAAAATATTTTATTGATTATGATAAAATACAATGTTTTCTATAAGAGTTTGTTAACGTGTTAGCATCTAATAATAAAATGTAATTCTAGCCAAGTGACAAACTTTGAATGGGAATCGATTGCAAATATATACCCTAACTCAAATGCACATTCTTCAATGTTTACGGAATTTTGTTTAGACATAGAACTTTCAGTGTAAAAGAGCGAACAAAATTGGTAGGTGGTAACAAACACGTGTCAGGCATGAGAATGCTGTTCATTTTCATGCACACTGATGAGTATTATGAAAGCTGGTCTGGCACAAGTGTCTTGGGTTGTACTTTTTACCTTTCACCATCTATTATCTTCACATACATGTGCTGTTTTCTGCCAAAATGCCATTTCTTCCCTGCCTTCATTAATCTATTATTATAATTTTCTTCAAGAATCTTGAAAACCTTCTCAAGGAAACTTTTCCTTGTGTTGTGCTTTTTCTGAACTTCATATATAGTCAAGTCTATGCTTGGATTCAACTGTTTTAATTTTCTTTTTTAATCCTGACCTTTTTTTTTCTTCTTGGGAAGAGTTTCCCTCTGTCACCCAGGCTGGAGTACAGTGGCATGATCTCGGCTCACTGCAACCTCCGCCTCCCAGGTTCAAGTGATTCTCCTGTCTTGGCCTCCCAAGGAACTGGGATTACAAGCACACACCACCATACCTGGCTAATTTTGTATTTTTAGTAGAGGCAGGGTTTTGTCATGTTGGCCAGGCTGGTCTTGAACTCCTGGCCTCAAGTGATCCACCCGCCTAGACCTCCCAAAGTGCTGGGATTACAGGCATAAGCCACAGCGCCTGGCCCTGATTTTTTTTTAAAAAAAGCAACAGTTGTGTGATTTTGCTTCCAGACTTCCAGATATCAATTTCTAGTCATCTGATTAATTCCCTTCTAGTTTTCAGATATTGCTATATCTAGTTTTCAGATATTGCTACAGACAAAGATTTTGGAATTCCCTTTCCTTTTTTTGCCACTTGAGAGAACAATCTATTAATATTAATTAATCTAAGACAATCTATTAATATTAATCTGTAATCACAGATTTACCACCTGCCTTCATTATTTATTCAAAAATTTTATTTGAGCACCTGTTATATGCCACGCACATTTTTTTTTTTTTGAGATGGGGTCTTGCCATGTTGCCCAAGTGGGTCTCTAACTTCTGGGCTCAGGTGATCCTCCTGCCTCGGCCTCTCAAAGTGCTGGGATTACAGGCATGAGCCACCACACCCAGCCCTCCACACACTTTTTTTAATGACAGTATTGAGTTTCTCTGCTTTCTCATGAACTCACCAAATTAATGAGGAAATAAGCAAGCTGCATGACTAATCTGGGTTTTTTTTGCTAGTTATTTGAACCTGAAAAGAATCCAAAGGGGAAGAGAAGACAAAAAGAATATTTCCAACCATACAGCTTCAAGAGCTGAGGGTGGCCTGAGGAACCCACTAGAGATCAGTTCACCCACCTCTTTTTAAAGTCTAAGAAATCCAAGTGCACAGAATGTTCAATCAGCCCACATGCCTCCCTTTTTACCATGTTGCTTCTGAGAAGCACCCAAGTTACTAACCCAAGGTCACACAGCTCTGTGATCTTTTAATTCAGAGTTCCCTTGTTTTTTACACAGTAGCATCCCTGTAAAATACCTTCTCTATATGATAGCCCCAAATTCTAAAAGCAAAACTTATTTAAATGGATGTTTTATAATTGTACACTTTGGCGGGGGGGGGGGGGTGTAAAAAGTATTACTATAAGTATTTCTTATTAAATAAATATGTCTTCTCTAAAGCATAACTGTAAATTAATAATAGCTAGCCTTTATTGGGCTCTTACCATGAGCAGGCACTGTATGGTCACACAACTAGTAAACAGAATCAAAAGCAATTCCTGCTTTCACTACACTTTGGAATCTACAAGTCCACATTCTTGATATAATTTCACCAACCTTTTAGTATCCAAGTTAACTTTTCAGTTGGTGAATCACATTGCTTCACTTCTGCATCAACACAACACTGATCTAAGTAATCAGTGAAGTAATCAGTAATCAGTAAAAAAAACTGCAGTTAAAATGCAAGTTGATTTTCTGGCTATTGCTACATTTCATGCCAAAATAGCAAACCTTTACATTTTCTCCTTAATATTTCAGTCAATTCTACAAATACCTGCATATCTCCCCCACTGCTTATACCTGCATATCTCCCCCACTGCTTATGAAATGTAAAACTGCATACCTAAAGTACAGTACCTAACTGCACATGAATAAATGAAAAGCATGCCCCTAGAATGGCATGGTGGTGGTTTACTCTGAGGTCATGCCTAGCTTGATTTCACATTTTCACATTTTTCCATACTAAATATTTATCCTTGGTTGTAATACGGGTCAAGAATGACTCAGAATTTTACTAAAAATTATGCAATTATCATTTGGTCAATACACTTAACCTCTGAAACAAAAGGTTTGTTGAGGCTGATAGAAGGCTGATGACATTGGCTGCCTGGTTTCTGCAAAGTCCCCACTTTCCTTCTCATTAGTGATGTGCTGTGCCAATGAGACAGAAATCACTAAAAGGCAGGAAGACAGTCACCAAGAGGTATGGAACTTGGAGCCAGTAAAGGTGTCCCTGAATAATCAGAAGTGGACAAATTCCTCCTGTAGTAAAGGGTAACATCTATTTTTCCTGCTCCAAGAATTCCTCCCCAGCAAAAGTTCTGAGTTAAGAAGAAAATACAAATACACACATACATAAATTAGTTCAAAAGAGAGTCACTGGAGCCTAATAGTTCAAAGCTCAGGTTTTAAACTCAGAGTCAGAAAGATCTGGGTTTGAATCCTAGCTTTGCCACTTACTAGCTAAATGACCTTGGGCATCTTACTTCTCTGAGCCTCAGTTTCTCCATCTGTAAAGTGGGGTAACAGTAATATTTATCTCATAGAGCTGTTGTTAATGATTAAAAGAGATAGTATATGTAAAATCCCAGTACCTGGCCCATATTAAATGTTCAGTAAGTATTTTGTTATCCTCCTTTTTCTTCCTCCTTCTCTTTATTGTCATCATTATCTAGTATCCACATGGCCAGGGAAAAGACCCTAGAGGTTATCCACACCAGCAGAAACAATATTAAGCAGAATGGCTACTGTAGCTAAAACACCATTGAAGCTACATCTGATTTTTAATTAGATGTCAAAAATAACATTACGGTGGGCAGATGGTTTGAGACCAGGAGTTCGAGACCAGCCTGGGCAACATGGCAGAACTGTGTGTCTGAAAAAATACAAAAATTAGCCAGGCGTGATGGTGTGTGCCTGTGGTCCTAGCCATCCGGGAGGCTAAGGTGGGAGGATCACCTGAGCCCAGGAGGTTGAGGCTCCAGTGAGCCATGATTGTGGCCACTGCACTCCAGCCTGGGTGAAGAGTGAGACCATGTCCCCAGAACAAAACCCAGATTAATTCTGAACAGCAAAAAAACATACTGACTAGGTCAGCAACTTCCTTAGACCTAAGCATTGCCACTGGGTGTAAACCTCTGACATTTGTCCACCTTCCTAGACATATATTGTTAAGAGAGACAGAGAATGAAAGGGAGGGAAAGAAAGAAGAGAAAGGAGTAACAATTTGAGAACTAAGAGATATTTTTGTAAGACTAGACAAAAGATTGGGAGAAAAAAACATAAATAGAACTCAGTATAAAAGAAGAAAAGAGATGCAATAATTAAACAATAAAAACAGCAAAAACATGCCAATATCTTTTATAGGAGCTATTTGATGAGACCCTTGGAGCTTTAGGTCCAGCTAAACACCAAAATTAACTTGGGAAATAGTACCCATCCCCCACACCCTGCTGTAAGGCCTTATTGAGAACAACTGAGGTACAAGATTCCAAATTAGGAAGCCAGATTAGAATATTCTGGGTTTGATTCCTTATTCCTCCATTCACAAGCCATATATATATATATACATTTTTTTAAAAGACAGAGTCTTGCTCAATCGCCCAGGCAGGCTGGAGTGCAGTGGCGCAATCTTGGCTCACTGAAATCTCCTCCTCCCAGGTTCAAGCGATTCTCCTGTCTCAGCCTCTTGAGTAGTTGGGATTACAGGCATGTGCCACCACGCCCGGCTAATTTTTGTATTTTTAGTAGAGACGGGGTTTCACCAGCCTGTTGGTCAGGCTGGTCTCAAACTCCTGACATCAGGTGATCCACCTGCATTGGCCTCCCAAAGTGCTGTGATTATAGGCTTGAGCCACCATGCCTGGCCCACTAACTATATTTTTACTCCCTGAATTTTGATTTCTTAATTTGTAAACATATGGTAGGTATGAACCTACCTTATACAGTCTGAGGGTTAAACAGATAACTATAAATGCCTTTTATGTAACAGGCTATTAATCAATATTAACCCTTCTCTACTTTCTTTGCCCCCATAAGTTCTATCTACAGATTAAAGAAGTAGTCATCAACAGAAAGACTATTTCATGATGACAAATGGTAAATGAGTGAAAAGCGTCTAATTCTCTATGCCATGCCTATTTTCTTTGTAAATATCTGATGACAAGTCTTCCAGTTCTACAGCTTGACAGCACATATCTTCATATGTTAAAGTTCACAAGGAACACTTAGCTTGACGTACAAGGTATTGCAGGACACAGAACACTGGTCATCTCTAGGTGCTAGTCCAGCTATCTGAGCAGTTTACTTATTACCAACCAGGACTTACCTCTTCTGTTTGGTTGGGCCTTAGGGAACATTCTGGGCCTTGCTCAGTGTTTAGTGAGTCTGGTGTGAGGATTTGTGCCATGGAATTATCAGAGGTGCTTATTTTCCCATATGCTTCCTGTAAAGAAAAGAATCAGAGCTCCAGAAAGGGTCCTGCCCTGGTGCCACATGAATTCTTCTTTCTGCGCATGCTCATTTTACAAACTACCTGCTTGCAAAAAAGTCAGATATGGAGAAGTCAGATACGATTAGAAAAAAGTTTGTTCATTAGGGAAAAAATCAGCTTCCCCAAGACTGTCTTTATTTGAAAGACTTGCATTCTCCACACTTCTCTTCTTAATGAGCACATAAACAATCTAGAGAATTACGTACTTAAGTAAATTCTTCCAGAAGTATGCTTTGTCTTGTTGAAGTATTCTTTAAAAGTATGTCCTTATGAAAATTTAAATTACATGGCCAGGTGTGATGTCTCACACCTATAATCCCAGCACTTTGGAAGACCAAGGCAGAAGAATTGCTTGTGCTCAGGAGTTTGAGACCAGCCTGAGCAACATGGTAAGACCCTGTCTCTATCAAAATAATTAATCAATTAATTATATGATAAAGGCCACATTTCAAAGAGTGGGGAAAAGGTGAATTTATTCCATTTAGGAACAACTACCAAGGCATTTTATGAAAAATATAAGTAGAATTCTTGTATTACTCCTAACAATAAATTCTAGTTATGAAAAATATAACTAGAATCCTTGTATCACCCCTAACAATAAATTCTCATTGTATTCTCAAAGTTATGCCATAAAAATTCTAGGTGTGGGGAAGCATGACAAGAAAGGAAAATAATATTAGTATTGACTACATAAAAAAATAAAATAATATGCACCACAAAAGATACCATAATCTAAGTTAAAGAGAAATGACAGACTGGGATAACTATTACACATAGTGTTAATATTTTTTTTTGAGACGGAGTCTCGCTCTGTCGCCCAGGCTGGAGGGCAGTGGCACGATCTCGGCTCACCACAAGCTCCGCCTCCTGGGTTCACGCCCTTCTCCTGCCTCAGCCTCCCGAGTAGCTGGGACTACAGGCACCCGCCACCACGCCCAGCTAATTTTTTGTATTTTTAGTAGAGATGGGGTTTCACCGTTTTAGCCAGGATGATCTTGATCTCCTGACCTCGTGATCCACTCGCCTCGGCCTCCCAAAGTGCTGGGATTACAGGCGTGAGCCACCATGCCCGGCCAATATTCTTAATATATTAATTACTCTATAAATAATAAGGAAAACATCAACCCCTACATAGAAAAACAGTCAAATGGTAGGAACAAGCAAGTCGCAAAAGAAGAGTTACAAAAGCCAATAGGCATCTAAAGAGATATTCAACATTCTTAGAACATAAATTAATTTAAACCACTGGCTAAGTTTGGCTAAGACTGACAATATCAAAAATCAGCTTGTGTGTTGGTTGGGGGGGGGGGTCTGGAAATGCAATTCCATGTATACCTAGGAGAAATATTGTTGGTATAGCCTTTCTTTTTCTTTCTTTCTTTTTTTTTTTTTTGAGACAGGGCCTCACTCTGTCACCAGGCTGTGGTGCAGTGGTGCAATCTTAGCTTCACTGCAACCTTCATCTCCCAGGCTCAAGTGATCCTCCCACCTCAATCTCTGGGACTATAGGCATGCACCACCACGACCGGCTAATTTTGTATTTTTTACAGAGACAGGGTTTCACTATGTTGCCCAGGCTGGTCTTGAACTCCTGAGCTCAAGCTGTCCGCCCACCTCAGCCTCCCAAAGTGCTAGGATTACAGGCATGAGACAACTGCACCTAGCCTGGTATAACCTTTCTAGAAGGCAGTTTGAAAATGTGTGTCACATTTTAAATGGATATATACTTTGATTCAGCAATCCTTCTTTTAAGATTAACCAAAGTTAAGCAATGGGAAAATGACATGTACACAAAGAATTAACACAACGTGACAGAAAGCATGTGGATATTATAATCAACCAACCTTGATTGCTCTACTTGCAAGTTGTATGATCTTGGACAAATTAACCTGAACTCTCTGAAACCTCAGTTACTTCACCTTTAAAATGGGAATAAAACCTATCTTACCTATGCTTGCAATTAAGTGACATATATAAGGCATTTAGCATTTCCTAACAAAATGTTAGTGTCTTTTCAGCTTCTACTGAAAACAGTGACTGTTATCAGAAAGGTATAAACCAAGAATTAAAGGTAGAGATTAGATAAAATTAGAAAGGTAGGCGGGGACCAGGAAAATCTGGAATGTCACGCTAAGTTTGCATTTTCTTCAGTAGATAATCAAACTCCATGAAGAATTTTAGGCTGAGGTTTCGCATGATTGGTTTTAGGAAAAGTCATCAGTATTTTATAAGATGTATTAGGAAAAACAATTGGAGACTGTAAACCAATTAGAGGGCTACTCCAAAAGTCCAGGGAAGTAATAAGAATTGCTTGAAATAAGACGATGGCAAAAATAATGGGAGGAGAGGCTGTACACAGTGAATGGACATCATTGGCCACTGACAGGATGTGACAGGTGAGAGAAATGAGGCACCTAGTAGAACTCCAAAGTTTATCTCTGAGAAAATAGTGGCACCAACAGCAGACACTGAGAAATTAGTAAGAGGAGCAAGCTTTGAAGGAAAGGTGGTAAAATAGGTTTGAGTTGGAGAAACTCCATCCCAAAAAAGTCTATCACGAGGATAGAAATGTGGAATAGATTTATAGATTTAAGAGAAAAGCCAAGACTAGAGATTTAGTTTGGTAATCACTGGCATAGAGGTGACCACAAGCTCTCAGAGGAAATAAAATTGCCCTGAAAGAAAACAGAGAGGCCGGGCGCAGTGGCTCACACCTGTAATCCCAGCACTTTGGGAGGCCAAGGCAGGTGGATCATCTGAGGTCAGGAGTTCAAGACTAGCCTGGCCAACATGGCAAAACTCTGTCTCTACTAAAAACAAAAAAAATGAGCCAGGCATGGTGGCGGGCACCTGTAATCCCAGCTGCTCGGGAGGCTGAAGCAGGAGAATCGCTTGAACCCAGGAGGCAGAGGTTGCAGTGAGCTGAGATCGCACCACTGCACTCCAGCCTGGGCGACAGATCGAGACTCTGTCTCAAAAAAAAAAAAAAAAAAAAAGAGAAAACAGGGAGAAGGAAGAGGACAGAACATTGGGGGAATGCCTACCATCACAGACGAAAGAGAAAGAGGGGCAAGAAAAGGAGATGGAGGAGGGACTAGAGGTAGAAGGGACAGGGAAGAACAGAATTAAGAAAGTTAAAGGAACACCGCAGTTAAAGAAGGAAGAGGTGGTCACTCCCAGAGAGGTCAATAAGGATTAGGACTAATAAAAGGGTATTGAATTTGTACTCCAGAAGTCAATGGCAGTTTAAGCATAGCCAGAGGCTGAAACAAGATTACAAAAGGGGCCGAGGGAGTAGAACACCAAGGAAAGACCTTCAGTAGCAAATGAAAGACGAAGTGTAGTAATTGACATGGGAAGCAGGATCCAGAAATTCAGTTCATTAAAGTACCATACTGAGCTGAGTATAGGATATAAACGATAAGCTTCTTTCCACTCATGAAATCGTATCAGGTGTATTCATAAAAATGTGCTAAGTCATAATTGAGGTTCAGAATCCTATTGGAAAACAGGGAAAGAGACAGCAATTTCCTTTGCAGGATGTCAGGAGGTTTCTTGGAGCAGGGGAAGTTGAGATGGGTCTTTGTGGATGGGAAGGAAGTCTACAGAGAGGCATGGAGAAAGGGCATCCCAGGGACCAAAGCCTTCTGTGGAGCTACTGAAGATGCAGGCTGGTTCTGGAACTATCTCTCTGTTTGAAGTAGTGGGGCCACAAGGAAGAGAACATGTTAGGGAGGGGAAGCCTGAGTACTGAGGTAGAGAAGGAAGGAACCTAGCCAGAGGCAGAGACTGACAAGGCAGGTATAGGCAGAGAATGGCGCCAATGATTAAGGAAAGAGTTGGCCTGAGAGCAGGGGGAGGGGTCAGCCCTGGACAGGAGGCAGGAGTGAGAGGTTTATGGATCACGAGGATGCAGAGATCTTCCGGGAGCAAAGGAAGCACGTAGTTTTCACATAGCCTTACAATGATTTTCTAAAGTGAGACCATTTGAGAGACTGGAAAATATTTAGAATGTCATAAGGAGTAAAAAGACTTAGCGCATCTAATTTATCTTACATACTACTTTGTTCCACAAAAAAAAAAAAAAAAGATTATGGAGAGACCCTCCACCCAAAACTCCCAAAAGAGTGGCATGTTAATTTACATGCTTTGGTAAAACAGTGCAGTGAAGCTTTTAGCTGCTCCTTTGAGGTATCTGTTTGGTCAGTTTGGATTTTCACATATATGGAGTTTTCCTCAAAAAAAGTACTCTCCTGTTATTAAGTACACAATAGAAATAGAACCAAGCAGGTGCTCATTAAGGCTGTCTTTGCATTTGTGCAAAGGTAATGTGAGAAGCTTTCAAAGATTCACGGTAGCCAAGATAGAGAAGCAACCGAAGTGTCCATCAACTGATGAATGGAGAAAGAACATGTGGCATATATACACAACAGAGTACTAGCCAGCCTTCAAAAAGAAGGAGGTTCTGTCATTTGTGACAATATGGATGAACCGGAAGACATTATGTTAAATGAAATAAGCCAGGCACAGAATGATAAATACTGTATGATCTCACTTACATGTGTAATCTAAAAAATATGGACTGCATAGAAGCAGAGAATAGGATGGTGGTTACCAGGGCTGTTGGGGGCTGAGAGAGGGCCTGGGGAGATGTTGGTCAAAGGACACAAAATTTCAGTTGAACAGCAGGAATAAGTTCAAGAGAATCTATGTATAACATGGCAATTATAGTTAATAATAATGTATTGTATACTTAAAAGTTGCTAAGCGACTAGATTTTAGGTGTTCTAATTACTGAAAAGATGACAAATATGTGAGGTAATGCATATGTTAATTAGCTTGATACAGCCATTTCCAACGTATACACATTTCAAAACATGTTGTATACCATAAATATATACAATGGTTGTCAGCTAAAAAAAAAAAAAAAAAAAAAAAAAATTCAGCCCATGCAGGTTCCCTCCCTAAGCATTCCTTTAAACAAAATAGTTCTTTACTATCCTTATTTTTATTCCTGTCTGAGCTACAAATGGGCATTTTAAAGGTTTAGGCAGTGCTTGCTGAAAACCAAACAAAGGAAAGAGGGAAGAGAGGAAGCAAAGCTAACATAGAAAGTCAGGCAACATGGCGAAACCCCGTCTCTACTACAAATACAAAAATTAGCTGGGCGTGGTGACGTGTGCCTGTAATCCCAGCTACTTGGGAGGCTGAAGCAGGAGAATTGCTTGAACCTAAGAGGCGGAGGTTGCAGTGAGCTGAGATCATACGACTGCACTCCAGTCTGGGCGACAGAGCGAGTCCGTCTCAGGGGTGTAGGGAAAGAAAGTCGTGCAGAAAGAGATCCCTGCTCCCCCCTGGGCCCTCGTAACCCCTAAGCGTGGCTGATACGCCCAGCATTACCTGAACAATTGTTCCAGAGGATGAGGAAGCTCTGTCTTCTTCCATGTCCTTGTCATGCTTCCAAAGTGAAGACCAAGACTGAGGCGATGGCTCTGCCTTCTCATCTCCATTCTATCACAGTAAACGATTGGTTAGCAAAGGGAAGAGCTTCCCTTACTGTCATAACCGGTGCCCTACTCACTCACGTCTTTTATACCAGACTCAACTTATCAGGCAGTGTAACCACAGCCCTTTATTGCAGTCCTCCCCCATTTTTTTATCTGTATTTTTTTTACTAACTATATCATGTTTACAAATGTGGCTGCTCTTCCTAAAGCCTAGAAAATACTTTTAAAAGTAGGGGCTCGGCTCACGTCACACAACGGAAATCTTTAAAATGGTGCTTTTAGGAATTTAATCTGCTTTGGTAAATGTAACCTTAAATGGTATCTTTGAGGCCAGGCACTGTGACTCACACCCATAAACCCAGCCCTTTGGGAGGCTGAAGTGGGAGGATCACTTGAGGCCAGGAGTTGGAGGTTGCAGTGAGAACCACTGCACTCTAGCCTAGGCAACAGAGTGAGATCCCATCTCTAAATAAATATTTAAAAATACGTAAAAGTTAGAAAAATTAAAATGCTATCTTTAAAATTACAGCCACGAGTATAAGAAAAAATGTTCAACCTCACTAATCACCAGGGAAATGCAAATTAAAACCACAGTGAGATACTACTTTACACCTGTTAGAATGGCTTATATAAAAAAGATAAAAATGACAAGTGGTCATGAGGATGTGGAGACAACAGAACCCCTGAATACTGTCGGTGGGAATGTAAATTGGTACAGTATCAAAGTTCCTCAAAAAACTAAAAATAGAACCAGCAATCCCACTACTGAGTACATATCCAAAGGAAAAAACTCAGTATGTCAAAGAGATGTCTGCACTCCCATGTTCAATGCAGCACTGTTCACAACAACCAAGATACGGAATTAACCTAAGTGTCCACCAACAAATGAATGGATAAAGAAAATGTGGTTATATACACATACTGAAATACTATCTGGCCTTAAAAAATAAGGAAATTCTGTCATTTGCAACAACATGGGTAAATTAGAGGATCTTCTGTTAAGTGAAATAATCCAGGCACAGAAGGACACATACCACATCATCTCCCTTTAATGTGGAATGTAAAAAAAAAAAACTCATAGAAGCAGAAAATAAAACAATGGTTACCAGCGACCAGGGATTACAAAAATGTCTGTCAAAGGACATTAAAAAAAGGGCACAGGAGGAATAAGTTCAAGGGATCTTTTGTATATCATGGTGACTATAGTTAATATATGTTTGAAAATCATGAAGAGAGTAGATTTTAAGTTTTCTCATTACAAAAAAAAATGGTATGTGAGGTAACATGTATGTTAATTAGCTCAATTTAGCCATTCCACAATGCATATATACATGTACTGTATCAAAACATCATACATGTCATAAATATATATATATATATATATATATATATATATATATATATTTTTTTTTTTTTTTTTTGAGACAGTTTTGCTCTTGTCACCCAGGCTGGAGTGCAACAGCGTGATCTCGGCTCACTGCAACCTCTGCCTCCTGGGTTCAAGCAATTCTCCTGCCTCAGCCTCCCAAGTAGCTGGGACTACAGGAACCTGCCACCACACCTGGCAAATTTTTTGAATGCATACAATTTTTACTTGTCAATTTTTTTAAAAAAATCACAGCTTGATGTTCCCCTTCATGTGTCCATGTGTTCTCATTGTTCAATTCCCACCTATGAGTGAGAATATGCGGTGTTTGGTTTTTTGTTCTTGCGATAGTTTACTGAGAATGATGATTTTCAATTTCATCCATGTCCCTACAAAGGACATGAACTCATCATTTTTTATGGCTGCATAGTATTCCATGGTGTATATGTGCCACATTTTCTTAATCCAGTCTATCATTGTTGGACATTTGGGTTGGTTCCAAGTCTTTGCTATTGTGAATAATGCCGCAGTAAACATATGTGTGCATGTGTCTTTATAGCAGCATGATTTATAGTCCTTTGGGTATATACCCAGTAATGGGATGGCTGGGTCAAATGGTATTTCTAGTTCTAGATCATCACACTCTGGGGAGTGTTGTGGGTTAGGGGGAGGGGGAAGGGATAGCATTGGGAGATATACCTAATGCTAGATGACGAGTTAGTGGGTACGGTGCACCAGCATGGCACATGTATGCATATGTAACTAACCTGCACATTGTGCACATGTACCCTAAAACTTAAAGTATAATAATAATTAAAAAAAAGAAAAAAAAATCACAGCTTGATGAACATGTACTTTTTTGTTGCTGTCAAAGACAAACAACACTATAAACATCAGCTCAGAAGGAAATACATGTCTCAAATTAACATCGTACTGAAGTCACTCTTTTTGGCCCCTGGTCCCTCCATTATTTTCGTAGTTCTCTCTGCCATGAAGGGGTATAATCAGATTGCAAAGTTGTTTGATGGTCACAGAGCACACAGTAAAGTTGTACTCTTCCTTGTCACAGTTCCACCATGTCCCAGCGACACACTCTAGGACAAGAGGTCTGCTCTGTGTGAGAGTGGAGCTATTTAACCATCTATAAAATGAGCCCAAAAAGTGTCTGGTGGTTACATGTAAGTCACAAAAATTGTAAGTTGCTTCAATTTTCTTCCTTTTGTCTTAAGACCCATTGCAACTTATTTTTTCAAGTATGAAATGGAAACTGACGTCAGAAAAGACAACTGAAAATGTCTCATTCAACCAGTTATAATCAAGTAGTACAAATTCTTAGTATTACTTGCTAACACAACTCTTCATGTCATTGGAAATACTGTTTTAGAGCAAAAGAGTAATTGAAATGCGGAAAAATACAGTTCTAAAAATGAGACCAGGAGTGCCAAACAGCATGCTCTCAAAACTTCAGAGAAAGTCCTCAGAAATCAGGATACTACAGAGAACTTCTTCACCTTCTCCCGTATGCCAACAAGAGTGTCTGAATTACATTCATCTCACTCTTACACAGTGAAGTAGGTTTCCATACACTTAAACATTAATAACATAAGAGAACTACTTCAATCATACTTTTAAAATATCAACATTAATTTTAAAAATTCTTAGGTTTCCATTCACTTTAAGATCTTTTCATTGACTTCTTTTAGAGATCTGGTTCTAACAAACTTTAACAAGAAAATCATTTCCCTTACATCGCTCTTCACGGAACTTTCTTCCACCTCTTCCTCGACTGCTGCCAGGTAAGACATGGAGCCTCTTCTGTTCAACTGAAAGGCACAGCACAAGAATACCTGCAGTCTGCTTGCCAGTCAACATCACCAAGATCCCAGTCCAGCTGCATTTTTATGTAGCTAATTTTTTACTTACTTTATCCAAGATGCCCACCCCCACAAGAAGCCTGTCTCCTGGTCCGTTCAGCTCCTCCAGCCAGATATCCGGAGTCAGTCAAACCTTAGGTCTTGTTATTTTCATGGCCCCCTGTGCCCCTTCATAAACGATTAAAGAATGTGATTCATTGATGTGAATGCAGAGAAGACTTAGGCACTGGGCCCTTCTTGAGTCTGCAAAGGGCTGACTTTTCTGTACGAAGATACTTCAAAGGGAGGCTTGATCCACCTGCCTGTGAAATTTTATAAGCATGTCCTAAAGTAATTCAGGTGTTAAGAATTCTGGGTGGAGTCCAGAACAGGCACACCCTGAGGATTTATATTCACTAGTAAACAACCTCAGGTTGAGTATTTCCACTTTAAAAAATTCCTTTACTACAGGCCATAGACATAGATGCCACAGGTCGTTCAGGTGGAAAACACTACCCATTAATGCTCTTGTGGAGTGTGGGGCCAGCATTAACCTAAAGTCATACCCACCTTCCGCTCAGAAGCATCCCTCTCTGCCACTCCACCTTCCTCTGATGTTACAGCTGGCAGCCTATCTCTTTCTACTCCTTCTTGTTCTTGCTTCAAATGCTGGTGAAGGTTTAGTACGGTGGCCTTCAAGTCCACCAACAGGTCTTCTTTTCTCTGGTTCAAACTCAGAATCTGTTTCTCCATACGTTCGATTTCTCCCTGTGTAGAAAGAGTGTTTGCATAGGTTTGAGAAGTCTGAGGCCTCTGCAGGCCCAGAGCAGCCTGCTTCCTTTGGTACAAGGGCTGAAGATTTTTCTTTGCTATTTGGTTTACAAAGCCAGAAGCTAGTCTCTGGTACGGTATAGCTCCTTTCCATCCTGGATACAATTCCAAAGGTCCTGTGTAGGGTTTATAAGCTATAGGATGCCTCAGCCTTACCAGAGACCTTGTGAATCAGAATCTCTGCGGGTTGAGCCAAAGCATGGAAACTTGTAACATGCTCCACACGTGACTGTGGTGTGCGGCCAGGGTTGGGAGCTACCGCTCTAGTGGCCAGCTACAGGACTGAGAGAACCAGGATCCACGGGGCAGGGCCCCGGAGTCTGCACACTAACCAACACTGCATAAGTGCCTTATGCAGACTTTCCATTGTGTCCCAAAGCATATTAAAAATGCATGTCCCCAGGAGACATGTTCCCATGTCTCTCCAGGAAATTCTTAAGCAGACTAACATTTGGGAACCACTGAGAGAAAATGAAGACAGAAATCTCATTCTTTTATTATCATCTTTGAAGGCTTCTTTGGTATTACTAAATTCATTTACTTTTTTTTTAAGCAGAGTCTATCCTGCTCAATCATTTACTTTTTCTACAGTAAAATCTTCCTACTAAATAGGAATAGGTAAACAAATAAAGGTACCATGTAGTATATCTTATTATGGGAATGATGGACAGATGATCTCAAGCTTCGTGATGTTACTTTTAACATTTATATTATTGATATGTGCAGATCAAATTTCTTATTCATGGCAGATATGCAGATGCCCACTGTATGTCTGAGATGACTATAGGATTATAGATTCTTAGCTTTGGAAGAAACAGCAGGTGACAAATACACTAACATCCTCCTCTCTAGCACCTCTGAGAGATGTCATTCAACTTGCCTGAGCTCCTGAAGTGAGTACTGCATCAGAAGCAGCCTGCTCCTTTTTAGAAAACCTTCATGTGTTTGAAATTTGTTCCTAATATATTCCTTAGACCCCTATTCTTTCCTTGTTATGTCTTCCTTTCTTGCTGTCAGTTCATCCATCCACCCATCCTACAGATAGTCATAGAAGCAATAATTTTCTTACAAAACAGAGAAACGTAATCTGTCTCCACCTGCAAGAGAGAGTTCTAAAGGCCAGAGAAAGAAGGTGATTTGTCCAAAGCTGCAACTAGCACACAGCAGAGCACAGGCCTGGGCTTTCTCCTGGCTGTACTGCACACATTTCTATGCCAATACCCCTATTCTGTCTGAAGTCAAAATTTCTGTGATTGCTTTTGGGAAATAACAACTGTTTGACTTAAATCTGAGTTGGCTGCATTTTGTGTTCCACTTTCAATAAACACTAAACTTCAGAGGTACACTGCCTCCTGACAAGAGCAATACTACAGCCACTAGGATAACACAAACAGAGTAGAGGCACAGTCCTACATGGAGCAGCTGCTCTCAAAGCAGCATCTGCAGACCCCTGGCCACAGTCCATGAGGTCCAGATCATTTTCATAATACTAAAATGTTATTTGCCTTTTACACCATACTGACATTTGCACTGATGGCATGAAAGCAATGGTGGGTAAAACTACCGGCACCTAATATGAATCAAGGCAGGAACACCAAGTATATTCGTTGTTACTGGGTTCTTCACTTTGATGTATTTATAGTAAAAAAAATTCCATTTTCCTTAAGAATGTCCTTGATAAAAATATGTGTCTTAGTTTATTTGTGCTGCCGTAACAGAATATCTGTGACTGGGTAACTTATAAAGAACAGAAATTTATTTCTCACAGTTCTGGAGACTGGGAAGTCCAGGATCAAAGTATTGGTACGTTTGGTGTCTGGTGAGGGCTGTTCTCTGTTTCCAAGATGGCGCATTGAAGACTACATCTTCCTAAAGGGAGATTTGTCGTGTTCTCACACGGCACAAAGCAGAAGGGCAAAAATGGGTGGACTCCCTCCCTCAAGCCCTTTTCTGAGGGCACCTAATCCCATTCATGAGGGAAGAGCCCTCATGACTCAATCACCTCCCAAAGGCCACACCTCCCGATACTGCTGTGTTGGTGATTAAGTTTCAACATGAACAAAAATGTTGGGGGGAGGGGAGGCAACATTTTTTGGGAGGAAAAAACATTCAAACCACAGCAGTATGTATTTTTAGTATTCTTTGTGAAAAAATGGAAAGTATGCATATGGCACTTCTGCTGCATACCAAGGGCCAATGGTTGAGAAAAAGCACTTATGCTACTGTTTGAGTTGTAAGCTGAACTATCCTTTTTATTCACAGAACACTATTTTTACGTGAAAAAAAGCCAGCTGATAAACTGTATTGCTTTCCTTAAATACTAAAAGATTTTTTCTGAAGAGATAAGTGTTAATATTAACAACTATGATTTAAAGAAATATTGACAATGTGTCAACATTTGGAAGATCGGCCTAACTCAGCTAATCAGGATTTTCCAAGTGATCGAGCGTGATGTTATAAAATCATGCATTGTTAGAAGATCCATTCGAAGTACAAAGTAGGCCAGTAAATTTTAATGTAAAAACGTATAAAGTTCATTGACATGGGTTTAGATTCCGTTTTACAATTAATACATACTTTGCACTTGTTGGGTTTTAGTATAGTTTCAAAGAAAAATGTCCACAATTATTCAAAAGGACTATTAAAATATTCCTCCATCTTCCAAGTGCATGTCTTTGAGAGGCTGGATTGTCTTCCTATACTTAAAACAAAACTACATGCTTCAGCAGATCAAATGCAGAAACATTTGCAGCACCCACATCTGTCCATTAGGTGGGTGCAAAAGTAATCGCGGTTTTTGTCATTACTTTTAATGGTAAAAACTGGAATTACTTTTGCACTGACCTAATATTAAGCCAGATATTAAAGAGATTACAAATACATAAAACAATGTCACTCTTCTCATTACTATTTGTTTTAGAAAATATAACTACTTTAAAAAAATGTTACTTCTACTACAGCCTGGGTAACACAGTGAGACCTCATCTCTAAAAAAAAGAAAATAAAAATAGTTATTCCTATTAATATGTAGTGGGTTTATTATTGTTGCTTAAAAACTAAATGAATGTTTTTACATTTCTGAGTTTTAATTTAGTTATCAATGGATATAATTCATATAAACAAAAGCTCTCTGGGGTCCTTGATTTTTTAGCATAAGGGGAAATCTAATATTTTTACAATACTGAGTCTTCATTACTGAGTGGGAATTATTGATCCACCATTTAACAGCTGTGTCATCTTGCACTCTCCTGTACTTCACTGTAGATGTCAAATCACTTGCCCCAGGTCTCACAGCTGGCGAGTAGTGTAATCTTCTTTTGAGTACCATATTAATTGCTTGCCTGTATCAATTTGATGGCAAGAAAAAAAAGCAGCTCTCTATTACCCTTAGCATACAATCACGTTTTTTTGTTGTTGTTGTTTTTTATTATAGAAATGCTACTTCAAAAACAAAGACTGAAAAAACCTAGCAACAGATGGTTAACATGCAAACCATTGTAACTGAATCCACAGGACACTGTTTTTTTATTTTTTATTTTTTTTAATTTTTTTGAGACGGAGTCTCACTCTGTCACCCAGGCTGGAGTGCAGTGGCGCGATCTCGGCTCACTGCAAGCTCTGCCTCCCAGGTTCACTCCATTCTCCTGCCTCAGCCTCCCGACTAGCTGGGACTACAGGCGCCCACCAACACACCCAGCTAATTTTTTTTGTATTTTTAGTAGAGACAGGGTTTCACCGTGTTAGCCAGGATGGTCTCGATCTCCTGACCTTGTGATCTGCCCGCCTCGGCCTCCCAAAGTGCTGGGATTACAGGCGTGAGCCACCGCGCCCGGCCCACAGGACACTGTTAATTCTGACATATGGCAATATGTCAGTATGGCAATACTGCTTAGAATATGGAATTCTTCATTACAATAGTATTCAGGGTCTTCACTGCTGAAGCCCAGCCTGCCTACACTGCCTGACTCTATCCCAGAAAGTCAGGTTGTCCAAATATCCTGTGTGTTATATCAGGTTCTTTGGTACCAGAGCAAATTCACATCAAAATGCTTCAAGCTGAGGCCATGGGCACTTAAAAAGCCCTCCATTAAAGAAGGAGATGCGGCAGCCCTGGCTCAGTTTCTGGGATTAGGACTGCCCAGGCTACAAACAGATAAGGCTTCTCTTGATCAAACATCAGGGGCTATAATTTTGTCACTTTTTAGTAATGATAATTATATAATCATCTATTTTATGAAATAGGGATGGAAAGTAAACACACACAGAAATACCTTCAATTGTTACAGAGAAACAGGTGTTACACTGCACCACTAGAAAGGCTCCTAGACACCAAAGGCTTAGTAAGTATTAAATAAATGCACTGATGGACAAATGAAACATACCTTTATGAATGAAAGAAACATACCTGTAGTTGTGGCAGCTTGTCAGCTTGGTCTGGTGACATATGTTCAAGGGAGAACTGAGCTGAATAATTATTTAAGATCTGTTTCAAATTTTCTATTTCTTCATCCCATTCATTGGTCTGTTTTATGACTACCTATAAAATAACCCCCACAAAAAAGAATCTTTGTCATAATCTAAGCAGATTAATGGACTATTTTCATTGTCTAGCCCCATGGAAGTTTTAATCACTCACAGCAAATATGCACCCATTGAGATTTCAATAGGACGTGGTAGCCTAAACAGAGAGAAGAATGTTTGCAAAGCTGACACCTGATCTTCTTGCTCTACTAGATGCCAGGGCACCTTGGGCAGTGCTTAAAGTACAAGTCTCACTGGACACACCTTTGCTCTTAAGTATTTCTGGTCCAGTGGGTTTATTCTGGAAAGCATTTTATGGCGTGTTAACATAAAGTTGCTAACTTTTGAGAAGTTACTGACAAGTCACATACACCATTTTAATACATATTCCATGGCCGGGGGAGCGGGGGGGCTTTCCGCATAGAAAGGTGACATAACAATTCAGACTGAACAGAGCATGTGAGGTCAGTGATGATGGGTTTTCCCGGTCCAGACTCATCTTCACCTGGTACCCCTTGGGATCAGTGATGTGTGTTTTACGAGTAAGAGGCTGAGGGTTCAAGAACAGTCTAAATTTGCAGAATAAGAACTAACCAGAACAATACCTGGCATCTAGTGCTAGGGGAGCAGGAAAGCTCAGACCTATCTGTGGACTAAATAATATGATTAAGCACGATGAAAAACAAAGAAACAGACTTCAAAAGAAAAACTAGATACTTCTTTGGTATGCTACATAATGAAGCAAAATGCCTTTTAAAACTACAAAGTTTCTAGCCAACACGAAATTCTTCCTTGTATTTTCTTTAATATTTAACTATAATTTTAGCCATAGGCTGGAAATGAATAACTATGTTCACTGTGCACATCTGTTCCCCAGCCCTCAATAATGAACTACATCCCGTTCTCTCCACAAAAGGAATTTGTCTTATTTTCTACAACGAGGGTACTTACAATATCTAAAGTAGAAATCAAAGGAAATGTACCATATTCTAATGATTGTCTTCACCACTGTCTTCCTTAGCTTTGAAATATATGAGGGGACATCTGATTGCCACCAGCACAATGAGATGGAAAATTTGAGCAGCATAGTTTGATACCTAACTTGGCACAAAACAGAACTGCCTCTTCTATTTCACCCATTTCGTCTGTGAAGAAGCCACTTGAAAGCATAGTTAGGACCGTGGCTTTCTTTTTCTGACCAGGAGACTAATAAAGCACAAAAGGATGAAAATAATGGATCAAATTTTATATTTTTTTCTCTTTATATTATTACAAGGTAGTACATTGAGTGCTAGATCTTTTTTCTCTCTGTAGGTGTTACAGAATGACATCAGTTGACCAGCAGCCAGACCAGAGAAACTGAGTTAAGACTCAAACCAGAGATTACAGTCTCCTCAAACCTTAGGAGAACAGAGTGGCCACCAAAATGTGCATGAAATTTAAGAGGGAAAAACATATAGTCATTTTTCTTCTTACAACCAGAAGGCGGTCATGAAAAATGAAAAATAACCCTTACAGTGACCCATCTAATCAGGAAAGGCAGCATGCAGGAGGTTGACGGAGACGGTTGGAAGTCTGTGCAGACTTTCTGCAACTTTCTGTTCTTGTGGGAGTGATTATTGATCCAGGAATACAAACTAAAGATTATTCCTAACTAATGATGATTCCTGATGGAGAGTAGTGATTTAACAAAACCCAACCACCACCACCGCCACCACAACACAAAACCCCTCTGGGGAGAAGATGAAGAATATCAGCTCTCAATATGCAGAAATGACACCAGGAGTTTAGAAACTCAAATTCTTGTTCCATGTGTACATAAATTAACCTCTACACAAGTTAACTCTGTGGTCTTTCAGCAAGTCACTTAACCCTGATGCCAATTTCCTTATCTGTAAAAATAAAGATAAAGTGCCTACTCTACCTACATCACGTTTGGTAATGAGAAAATCAATAGGAGAGTCACTGAGATGAACACAGAGATTACTATGGTGATGATTACTTTACAGATCTGTTGGCCTCAGAGGCTGCAAATGCCTTGTTCAGGTTTGACTCTCTTCCCACAGCATTTTGCCCATGTAGGTCAACAACTGTGGAATGAAATTAAATAGACCATAACTATGCTTTAATGTCTTAAAGGATAAGAACTGAGAAAAATAACCTTAGCTCCATTTGAGCATGAAGATATGCTTTTATATCAAATGCCACCTCCTACAATAATAGGATAATAATGAATTTCAATTAGAAGTGAAAACCAAACCAGCTTTTGGTGAACATTTTCATCCAGTAAGTTGGATGTCATCAGAAACTGCTTACCTTTAATAACTCATTTTGTTCTTGAGTCACATTTTCCAATAGTTTTATATCTTGTAAAAGCTGATTTGTCCGCTGAAACACAGGCAGAGGTTTCATTCCTGTTTGGGGCAACCTCAGTTCCACTTGGTAAGACACTATCTCAGCAATGGTTTTCTTCATGGGACGTATATTTTCAAGTATGACCTTAATTATATAAGAGGAGCATGTTACAGAAATGAAAAGACAATGGCCACTGTTAAATTTAATTATTCAAAATTAAAATACAGTATAGTTTTTATAGTTTGCATTTTTAAAATAATTTCTTAGCTCAGATTGAAAAGAACTATTATATCACTCATGATCCGGGAGTTGAAAGTCTCAGGAAAGAATAACTGGGGCAAGAGTAACCTACCAATACTAAATTACGCATTTGGACAACTTTTTCTTCCTTTTCTCCCTCCACTTTCTGTGTAGAACTGGCGTTCTGCTGTGTATATTGTCACTAGGCAGTGAGCAATGTAAGGGCAGGTACTGCCTCTCACTTTCGTAGCAACTACACCTAGCACAGGACTTCCCGTATAGTAGGCCCTCAAAAGTGCTTACTGACTTGAACAGAACTGTGCTGCATGAGTCCCAGGAGTATAATTATATTTTGCTTTAATAACATCTGATCCATAGAAATCTGGATTTATGTAACCAATACATTAGAAGAGATTACTCACCGTACTAAGTCATATCTCATATAATATCATTTCATTTAATCCTCACAACCCCTCGAGAGGTAAGTATCCTAACCTCCATTTCACAGGTGAGGAAATTGGGCTCACAGAAGTTAGAAGATCCAGGTAAGCTTAGTCTGTAAGAGGCAGAGCTGGGAACAGAATCCAGGCCTCCCTAGTCCTAAACCACATGCTCTCAATCACTAGGCTGAGCAGGGGATCAACATTTGCCTGCTGTTTAGTCATGTCCCAGCTCCTCTGTCAGGGGCTCTATTTACATTACAATTGGCCAATGTAATCTCCTCAGTACCAGTGCACGGATATGAAAGAGAATCCAAAAACCATTAATTACTCAGTCATGCAGCCAGTGAGCAGTCTAGCTGGGGCTGGAACCCAGTTCAGCCTGAATTAGGTGCTCAAGCCCTTGAGTTTGATTTAAATGAAAAAATAACCTATAGGAAAATTATCTTTACATAGGTGGTACTACAACTACGATTTAAATATACAGTTATAGTTATTCCCATCAATTTCCCAACCTTATTTTGCTATTACTCTGGTAAGACTAAATGCTTTTTTAAATCACATTATATTATATTTTGAAAAAGACATAATAAGTATCATAAGAAAATACTTTAAATAATAATCTATGCTTACCTCCCCATGTTTGAGATGTTCTTCAGGTGAAAAATCAAATATTTCTTTTGATAATAGGATAGTTTTGATTTTTGAAACTCTTTTTTCCATTGATTTTACTTCAGATTCAATAGCAACCACATCCTAGAATTTCAGAAGAACACACTGATGCAATATATATTGTATATTAATCATCTATAAAACAGTTTATTGGCATTAATTTTATTCTCTTATTTAGCCAAATAATGTCTGCCATCTATACCTCTGAAAAACTAACCAAGCACTATAGATAAATAAATAATGTTCACCATTTTCTTTCCTTTTTTTTTTTTTTTTTTTTTTTTTTTTCCTGAGACGGAGTTTCGCTCTTGTTGCCCAGGCTGGAGTGCAATGTCGCGATCTCTGCTCACTGTAACCTCCGCCTCCCAGGTTCAAGCGATTCTCCTGCCTCAGCCTCCTGAATAGCTGGGATTACAGGCACGTGCCACCATGCCCAGTTAATTTTTATATTTTTAGTAGAGACGGAGTTTCGCCATGTTGGCCAGGCTGGTCTCCAACTCCTGACCGCAGGTGATCCACCCGCCTCGGCCTCCCAAAGTGCTGGGATTACAGGTGTGAGCCATCGTTCCTGGCCAGGGACCAACAAAACTTTATAAGAAAATGAAGCAGTATGTACAATAGCTGTTTATAGTGATATCTTCAAATTATGAGGAAAAGTTAAATTACATGGACATTATTCTGTGCACCTACTATTTAAGAAGGTATATAGAATTATACAATGTATTTTAGGGTAATTTTCATCAAACATTATAGAAGCATTTAAAAATTTTGAAATGAGCTTCAGTAACCAAAAATAATTACTTTAACACTTACTATTCCCTGAAGATACATGAGTGTGGTGTAGGGAATGTAACTGAGTAACAAATGTAAATAATGAAGAACTTTAATTGCCTCTACTATGTGACTCTATCTTTAAATAAATGCTTCTGATGTTTCAAGCCAAAATAAAAATCCAGAGGCTGGCAAATAACAACCCCTCAATAAATATTTGCTATTGGTAAATAAAGACTTGGGACTACCTGTTTTACACTTGTTTTTAATTCCTTTTTGTGGAGAAGGGGGTCTTACTGTAGTACCCAGGCAGGTCTCAAACTCCTGTGCTCACATTATCCTTCTGCCTCTGCCTCCGTAAATGCTGGGATTACAGGCGTGAGCCACCGTGCTGGGCACCACGCCCAGCCAGAACTATCTCTTTTAATTCCCTCTTTCCTATCCAGCATTTAAAAATCAGTAGTATTTCTCTTTGACAAAGAGAAAACACTGAGCTTATTTTATCGGGATTCTTTACTCTTTAAAACAGACCACTTCTGGATTGAAAATAAGGAGATGCTTTTTGTTATAGTTACACTACAGGTTGCAAAGTAAAGTAAAATATAATTCCACAAATGAGAACATACATGACATTTTACCAGATCAATGTGCCTTCACATTGATTAGTTGTATAGTGCTTGGTTAGTAGTATAACTCTAATTTATTTGACAGAATCCTGCTCTGTCACCCAGGCTGGAGTGCAGTGGCGCAATCTTGGCTCACTGCAACCTCTGCCTCCCAGGTTCAAGCGATTCTCCTGCCTCAGCCTTCCAAGTTGCTGGGATTACAGGTGTGCACCACGATGCCCAGCTAAATTTTGTATTTTTAGTAGAGACAGGGTTTCACCATGTTGGCCAGGCTTGTCTTGAACTCCTGACCTCAAGTGATCCACCCGCCTTGGCCTCCCAAAGTGCTGGAATTATAGGGATGAGCCACCATTGCCCAGCCTCTAATTTAATCCTGAATGATTAAATGAATGGTGCAAACTTACATCAGCCATTCGCTGAATCTGTGGAAGGCTTTCCATTATTTTTTGTTGTAAAGCTGTTACTTGATTACTTAACTCTTGTATGGATTGGGTTAATTCATCTGTTTCAAAAATTATTGACAGGTCTTCTAGATCCATAAAGATTGAATGTAAAAGATTGTGCTTCTGTTCTGAATCTTCCAAAGCCATCTAGATAAACACAGAATGGGAAAAATAGAGAGAAACATCAAGATCCTGATATAAGCTGATTAATATTTAAATCAGAGAAAATTGAAAGTTATCTCAACATTTTAAACTAGTCATTTCTAGTTCGATAATGAAAACAGAACACCCTCTATTGTCAATGACAGTGAAAGACTTCAGAGTATCTACCTGTATAACTGTAACATAATAAGAAACATAAATATTTGGTCTTGGTCCACTTCTAAAACACTTGGAATCCTTTAATAATAGGGGAGAGAGAAGTGTCTTTTATTATACATAATAAGCCCTTTCATACATGTAATAACTTTCAAATTTAAGATGTCAAAATAGCTCAGCCACCTAATGAAAATGTTCAGCTTGATAATGTACTCTTCAGGTAATTCCATAAAAAATAACTGATAGGAGAAAGAACATTCACTTACACAACTAGAATTTCAGTCACAAGTCACTAAAACTAAGTGGGTTATTCAGAATTTTATATTAATCTTATTCAAAATCCTTATAGGAGAAAACTTTTAGGAAAACAAAACTTAAAACCAATGCTTTTTTTTTTTTTTTTTTTACCAATTATCACTGACAACAGCATCAAAAACCATAAAATACTTAGGAATAAATTTAACAGTATACATGCAAGAAATGTATACTGGGCCGGGTGTGGTGGCTCCTGCCTATAATTCCAGCACTTTGGGAGGCTGAGGTGGGTGGATCACCTGAGGTCAGGAGTTCGAGACCAGCCTGGCCAACATGGCAAAACCCTGTCTCTACTAAAAATACAAAAATTAGCCAGGTGTGGTGGCGGAAGCCTGTAATCCCAGCTACTCAGGAGGCTGAGGCAGGAGAATCGCTTGAACCCAGGAGGCGGAGGCTGCAGTGAGCCATTATTGCACCCCTGCACTCCAGCCTGGGTGACAGAGCAAGACACCATCTCAAAAAAAAAAAAAAAAAAAAAAAAAGACCTGCATACTGAAAATCACAAAACATTGTTGAGAAAAATTAAATCCCTAGAGAAATAAAGAGATATACCATGTTCCTGGATTGAATAGTCACTATGGTTGAGATGTTAATTCTCTTCCAAATTGATCTACAAATCTAATGCAATCCCACTCAAAATTCCCACAGACCTTTATTTAGAAATTAACAAGCAGATTCTAAGATTTATATCGAAATACAAAGGCCTTGATTTAGCCAAAACAAATCTGAAAAAGGACAAAGTTGTAGAATTGATGCTACCTGATTTCAAGACTTACTGTAAAGCTATAGTAATGAAGACTGTCATATTGGTGAAAGTATAGACATATAAATTAATTGAACAGAAGGGAGAGCCCAGAAATAGATGCACATGTATAAGGTCAATTGATTTCCAACAAAGTGCCGAAGTAATTTAATGGTGATTGTTATCAATAAATGATGCAGAAACAATTGGATATCCCCATGGAAAAAAAGAACTTTGATCCTTCAATCACACCTTATGCAACAATTAACATGAAATGAATCATAGATCTAAGAGAGTAAGAGTTAAAACTATCAAGTTACTGGAAGAAAACACAGGAAGAAATCTTTGTAACCCTGGGTTAGGTAAGGATTTCTTAGAATGCAACACAAAAGAATAATCCATAAAAGAAAATATTGATACATTGGACCTCATCAAATTAATAACATTTGCTCTCTGAAAGACAGTGTTAAAAGAATGAAAAGACAAGCCGCAGACTGGAAGAAAATATTTGTAAATGACATATATGTCAAAAGAATGGTTTTCAGAATATTTTACAAAAAACTTACAACTCAACAAGAAGACAATGCAATTTTTTAAATGGGCAAAAAAAATTGAACAGATACTTCACAAAGGAAGTGTACAAATGACCAATAAAGACATAAATAAATGCTCAAAATTATTAGTCATTAGAGAAAACCTGTTTAAACCACAATGAAATACCACTGCAAGTCACTAAAATGGCTAAAATTTAAAAGGCAGACAATATTAAGCGCTGTTGAAAACATGAAGCAATTAGAACTGATGTTGCTGGTGGGAAAGAAAAATGATACAGCCATTTTGGAAAACAATTTCTCAGTTTATTATTTATTTAAACACATCGTAAAAGTCAGAGATCCTACTTTTAGGTATTTATTCATTGAAATAAAATGAAAACATTTGTCTACACAAAGATTTATATATAAACATTCACAGCAGCTTTGCTCATAATAGCCTATGGTAGCAGCCTCTAAGGTAGCCCTGAATGACCCCTACCTCCTGGTATTCATACCCTTATATCAGCTTCCTTGAATGCAGGCCAGACTTACTAATTTAATTCTAATAAAATGTGGCAGAAATGATGAGATGTCACTTCCAAGGTTAGATTACAAAGACTGTGGCCCAGCCTGGGCAACAAAGTGAAACCTTTTTGCAAAAATTTAGAAATTAGCCAGGCATGGTTGTGTGCGCCTGTAGTCCCAACTACCTGGGAGGCTAAGGTGGGAGGAACATTTGAACTCAGAAGGTGGAGGCTGCAGTGAGCCGACATTGTGCCACTGCACTCCAGCCTGGGTGACAGAGCAAGACCCTGTCTCTAAAAGAAAAAAAAAAAATGTGGCTTCTGTCTTGACAGCTCTCTCTCACTCTCTTGGAGATTGTTTATGCTGAGGGAAGCCAGCTGCCATGGTGTGAGGCAGACTCCTGGAGGAGCCCACGTGTCTGTAAGTAGAAGCAGATCTTTTGAGGCCTGTCAACAGCCACGGGAATGAGCTTGGAAGCAGATCCCACCTCCTCCCTCACACAAGTCGAGCCTTCAGATGAGCCTGCAGCCTTTGTCGACACCTTGACCGCATTCTCATGAGAGACCTTGAGCCAGAGATACTTAGCTAAGCCATGCCCATGGACTCCTGACCCACAGAAACTGTGATAATAAGTTTGTTGTTTCAAGCTGCTAACTTATGGAGTAATATGTTACACAAAAATAGCTAATATATAGCTCAAAACTGGAAGCAACCCAAATATCTATTAACTGGTAGATAAACAAACTACTCATTTCCAAACTTATTTCCAAAACTGGAACACTACTTGGCAATCAAATAATTAACTATGCATTAAGTGTAACAACCTGGATGAATCTCAAAGGCATTATGTTAAGTGAAACAAGTGAGCCACGTAAGACTACATACTGTTTGATTCCCTCTATATGATATTCTAGAAAAGGCAAAACTATAGTAATAGGAAACAGTGAGTGATCACCTAGGGTTGAAGACAGGTGAAAGGGGATTGACTGCAAAGAGGCAGGAGGAAACGTCTTGGGAGATGGAGATGTTCCTTATATTGATGGCGGTGGTGGTTACACAACTGCACTTTTATCAAAACTTACCTAACTGCTACTTAAAATAGGTGTATTAATATTTTTACTGTATGTAAATTATACCTCAATAAATTTGATTTAAAAAACAGGCCGGGTGTGGTGGCTCACGCCTGTACTCCCAGCACTTTGGGAGGTCGAGGTGGGCAGATCAGCTGAGGTCAGGAGTTCAAGACCAGCCTGGCCAACATGGTGAAATCCTGTCTCTACTAAAAATACAAAATAAGGTCAGCGTGGTGGCACACGCCTGTAATCTCAGCTACTGGGGAAGCTGAGGCAGAAGAATCACTTGAACCTGGGAGGTGGAGGTTGCGGTGAGCCAAGATCGCACCATTGCACTCCAGGCTGGGCAAAAAGAGTGAAACTCCGTCTCAAAAAAAAAAAAAAATTAGTTTTCTATTTTTATAATGTCATTTTATGAATGTATGTTTCAGTTATTCTTACAACAGTAGTATTTGTGGAATTATCTTTAGGTTACAAAGACCTGTTTTAACAAATGCAATCCAGGTAGAAGGGTATAGTGCAATTAAAACAAACATTTAAAGCTTAGTTGAGAGTTCTGACACTTCTTTAAAAGTCAATATAAAAACTAATACCTGAATATGCTAGAAAATGGAAAAGGGCATCCTAAAAGTAAGATTATTGCACAAATGAGGATTTCACATAGGACTAGTTATTTGGGACTTACTTCCCAGGAGGAGATTAGGACACATCGGGACACATAGAAATAAACCCGAGCCTTCCTTGTCCCTACTTCCTTTCCTCAGTTCTAGCTCAGAAAGAAAGTCTAGCAATTTAGAATGTCCTGAAGTTTGAGAGATGCTTTTACATTTTTACATGTGTATCAGTAGAAGGTAGCAAAATCCCAGCTGCTTTTGCCTGAGCTCACTTTTGTACAGTTTTTTTTTTTAACTCATAATAAGCATTTGAAGGAAAAAAAAAAAGCATCATTCCTCTCTCTTGTCTTGGTAAAGTCCTCAAAAATAGTGAATCAGGGAGGTGATAAAGAGTTTAAAAATGACAAACTTTGGGGATGTGGAAAGTTAATCCAAGTGGGGGAAGGCAAAAAAAATCACAAGCAAGGGGAAGAAAAGAAAAAAAAATGGGTAGAAATGCAGCATCTTTACAACTGTTACCGTAAGAAAAAAATATGCCAACGATTCTCAAACGTCAGGGAGGTCTGAGGTCAGCAGCTCACTTAGGAACACACTGTGCCATTCCAAAGATAAAAAAAGGAGCTGAATCACCTTGGAAGTCTGATTCTGTAAACACTGTTACCAAATAAGCTTTTCTCTAAGGGATTCCTTCTCATGGCAGAATAAGAGAAGGGAAACACACCTGCGCAATGCAACTTCCCTAGTACTCAGCATCCGGAAGATGTTTTGCAGCCGAGGCCTCAAGTGGGAAAACACTTTCATTTGTTTTGACTTTGTAAGCCAGCATGGACACGTGGGGCATGTGTGGAGTACCAGCAAGGACAGGAAATTTGGAATCATGGTGTGTTAGAAGTGGAAGGAACCATGGGTTCGTTTTCTATTGCTGTGTAACTAATTACCACAAACTTAATGGCTTAAAACAAAACAAAGTTATCTCACAGTGTCCAAGGGTAAGGAGTCCAGGCATAGCTGAGGTGAGTCCTCCTTACAGGGAGCCACAAGGATGCAGTCCGGTGCCATCTGGAGCTTGGGGTTCTCTTTGAAGATCATTCAGGTTGTTGGCAAAATTCAGCTGTAGGACTGGGTTCCCTGTTTCCTTGCTGGCTCTCATTGACTCTCAGCTTCTAGAAAAAGCCTTTGGGCCCTAGCTCCATGGCCCTCTGACAATATAGCCGCTTTCTCAAGAAGAATCTCTCTGCACTCTGCTGCAGGCTGAGTAGCCCTTATCTGAAATGCTTGAGACCAGAAGCATTTCAGATTTTGGACTTTTTCAAATTTTGGAATGTAAGTATTATACTTACCGGTGGAGCATTCCAAATCCCAAAATCCCATATTAGAGAGCCTTATAATCATGTTAATCAAGTACTTATGGGAGTGACTACCCCATTACCTTAATCATATAACGTAACCTAGTCAATGAAGGGACTATCCCATCATATTCATATTCCTGCCCACATTCAAGTATTATTCTTTCAGGTCATATACACCAGAGGATGGGAATATTGGGGGGCATCTTAGAATTCTAACAACCAAAACCATCAGCACTATCCTATGCACATTCTTTTTTTTTTTTGAGACGGAGTCTTGCTTTGTCGCCCAGGCTGGAGTGCAGTGGTGCGATCTCGGCTCACTGCAAGCTCCGCCTCCTGGGTTCACGCCATTCTCCTGCCTCAGCCTCCCGAGTAGCTGGGACTACAGGCGCCCGCCACCGTGCCCAGCTAATTTTTTGTATTTTTAGTAGAGACAGGGTTTCACCGTGTTAGCCAGGATGGTCTCGATCTCCTAACCTTGTGATCCGCCCACATTCTTATTTCATGGGGAGAAACTGAGGTCCATAGAAGATATACTAAATTATCCAAAAAGTCATAAAGTAGTTATCAGGACAGTAAGAGCTGAATCCTGGTCTCCAAAATCCATGTCTACTGCTTGCCACTCTCTCAAGCTTCCTTCTGCCACTGACATGGTTAGCGGTAAGGTTGTATTTCAGGAAAGGAGGAAAAAAGCACCAAGACAATCAGCTAAGCCACGAATCTTTATGTAGATGCTATGAGTGGCAGAAAACCTGGAAGAACACTTACCTGCACAGTGCTAGCATGGTGACTCAGTGTCCTCAAAGAGTCATAGTCAGCAGGATTGGCCAGCAAATGACTGGTATTTTCTATCCAAGCCTCAGTGCTCTTCAGAAGGTCACTATATTCCTCCATCTTAACTGTGGCCTGGGAAAGAGATGCAGGACCAAACTTAGTCAGATGCCTTTTACTGGAGCTGAATGACTCCTAGATGAAGAGTCAATAGCTGTTAGTCAGGGGTGTGTCAGGCCTTGCAGATGTCTGCTCCCCATGGCTGGGGCTACTTATTCACCTGCTCTAGGCTATGACACTTCTGACTTTTAAGACTAACTCTGACCATAGGTGGAAAGGATTTAATCAGTTCTACTCCAACGTTATGGGCCTCAGCAAAGTTCTGGGTTAGCCTTGCAAGTATTCTGGTTCTCATTTTATGCTTCATTTTAAAAACTGGACTGTACTTTGTCCTCCTGTTCAGGACCTTGCCCTACAGTTCTTCTAAGACTAGGATGCTGCCTCACTCTTGCTAAATCACAGACACAACTCAGCCAACCACAGCTCCTATTTGGAAGGAGGGTAGAGAGGGTATCTTTTCCCCGAATGACAGTCTTTCTCATTGTTGTCTCCCTTACTAGACTCCTGAGACCACCTGCCCTAAATTCCCATTACTGGTCTTTATCCACCTGTTGGGGAGCCTGGACTTCCCAACAGTTTGCCTGGCTCTTGCTGTGGTCAACTTCTGGATTCTTGGTTCTGTCTGCCCAATCAGACTTCCTGCCTGCACTAGCATTGAAATCTGTCTCCTCAGCACCCACACAAGCCTACCATGGCCCCAGCTTCAAGTCCAAAACTGATAATTCAACAGAAACTGACTGTTTCTGAATATATTGTTTTGCTTTAACACCATCTCAATACCACCACATGATATGAAGCTATTACGAGTCACAGCCATACCTTATTCAACTGTGAGGTTCTACACTCTGCTCTCTGTGATACTTGCTGATACTGCTGGAAAGGAATCATCAAGTTATCCATCCATTCTTGAGCCTGTCCTGGGTCCTGTTCAACAATGTCCTGAACTTCAGAATCCAGCTCATTTAGTTTGGAATGCCATAGATCTAACTCGTCCCACATTTTCTGGAGAAGGAAATCGTAAGTCAACTTGAATGAAGAGGTCATAGTTTATGGAGGCAATGCCTGGTTTTCACACAGTATTTACATTTATAAATGCTACTAAAACATCACAGAAACAACATCACATGAACAGTTGTTAATTTATACCCAGCAATTTGTGATCTAAACTGAAAAACACTTTTCCTGAGCTCTCCTAACTACAACTGTATTCATTTCACTACAAATTAGCTGTAGGGGAACAGAAAGACCTGGACATTTTTAGAGATGACTGACACAAACAAGGTCAATATAGCCCTCATCTCTCAAGAGTGACAAGCAAAACATTCTGTTTAAAAAGGGCTTGGGGAAAGACTTGAACCTATTTACACTAGTTCATACACACACACGCACGCGCACACACACACACACACACACGCTCTCTTAATCTACAAAATAATTTCAAGTGAAAAAATAAAACAAAGAAAAATATCTGGGCTGGGTGCAGTGGCTCACACAATTTTGGAGGCCAAGGTGTGTGGGCTGCTTGAGGCCAGGAGTTCAAGACCAGCCTGGACAACACAGGGAAACACCGTCTCTACAAAACTTAGCCAGGTGTAGTGGCGCACACCTGCAGTCTCATCTACTTGGGAGACTGAGGTGGGAGGATCAATTGAGCCAGGGAGGTCAAGGCTGAAGTGAGTTTTGATCACACCACTGCACTCCAGCTTGGGTGACAGGGTGAGACCCTATCTCAAAAATTTAAAAAAAGAAAAGAAAATTATCTGCTGACTTGGGATGAATGCAGAGGCAGAAAGCTCTAGAAACATGTATTAGGAGCAACTGCTTTTGACTCAAGAAACCAATAGGTTGGATTCAAATCTGAACTTCGCTGGGCAGAGGAAAATTTCAAAGGTAAAATATTCAATTCTTAATGTTTGCTTAAGAACATTTTTTTCCCTATCTTGAGGACTAGGAAAATCTAACTTGTTAAATTAGGTTCCTCTGCTTAAGATTTGTCCAATAGTGAGCCATACTCTGACCTATTTTAAAAGCCCCAAATTATTAAAACATTTCCTTAAGACATAGATTAGAACAAGAATCCTTTCCCTATGCTGGAGTTTACTTGCGAATTAAGAAGGAGAATAGTGTTTATGTACAGTTTTGCCTAAGATTTTATTTTGTAAGATATTTTACAAGGGAAATAAATTTGGAATTTTTATTTTTATTTAACCTTTGCAGTCTAAAAAAGAGCTTTAATATTTTTCATATTCTATTGAATGATTTTTAGTATCAGTATCCCCAAGATAAGATCCTTACTTTCCTTTACTTGTGAAAATGCTAGTTCACAATCACAGGCTCTCAGAAGTTTGGGTATATGCCCACCATGGAAAAACAGAATTATTTTTTTGAGACAGAGTCTCACTCTGTCACCCACACTGGAGTGCAGTGACATGATCTCGGCTCATTGCAACCTCCATCTCCTGGGTTCAAGTGATTTTCGTGCCTCAGCCTCCCGAGTAGCTAGAATTGCAGTCTTGTGCCACCACACCCAGCTAATATTTGTATTTTTAGTAGAGATGGGGTTTTGCCATGTTGGCCAGGCTGGTCTCAAACTCCTAGGCTCAAGTGATCATCCCACCTTGGCCTCCCAAAGTGCTGGGATTACAGGCGTGGGTCACCGCACCTGGCCAAGAGAATAATTTTTAAATGCAACTTTCCCTATCAAGCCTCTCTAGGTGATGCCCCTGTGGATTTGGTTTACAATTTCTGTGCTTCAGATTAATTCAAAGAACTCACCCTGTGGTGACTGATGAACAAGGCAGGAGTGGGTCAGAAGTACCAAATGCTGAAGGGAGTTAAAGGAGGATTTTACCTTTTGAATTTCTTGAGCTTTCTCAATATTTTTGCTTTTCTGCTGCAACATCTTTTCAACATTATGAAGCCCATTGTTAATTTCTTCTATTTTTCTCCTCATTGCATATGATGGTGAGCTTTTTAAGACTTCATTGCTAATCTGTGAAAGAGACAAAGACGCATTTGGCTTAGAGAGGTTGTCTGCACTTTATTCATAGGTTCGAACAACAAAAGTGGTAGTCACTCTGTTTTAACTTGTAAAAATTTTTTAAGGGCTGGGGGAAGAAATTCTGGCAAATGCATTAATGAGAAGGTGGATAGGAAGACTAATAAATGGCAGGTGTGTTTACTTCACCTTTTAAATCTCATCTTAAATAAAATAAAAATTGGTTTTTTATTTGTACTGTAATACATGTATTGTAACATGTATTACAGATATATGCTGTGTTGGGCAAAATTACTGAGTGGATTGTGTGAAACATTTCCATATGGATCAAATGATATAAATGAATTCCTGGGGGATAAATTATTTTTATACAATCTTTCCATTTTATGAGAATCTATCTGCATAGATCTGTTTTCAGTAAAACCAAACTTACTCTCAAGCTGACTTTTTTAAAAAAATGTAATTCCAATCATAGTATTCATTTGGGTGAAACAACCTTCTAAAATTGCTATTTCTTGAGGATGCACAGAGCTTAATTATTCTCTGTGTAACCATTTGTAGATGTTTTCCCAGCCATCAGAAACTTAGCTACTGAACAGCGTAATTTTTTTTTATCTAAACGATTCTCTTAAAAAGAAACAAAAAAAACCTTGAGCTAGGAAAGATAATAAATGAATGTTGAATGTATCACTTTCCAAATACCTGACTGATGTGTGTTCTTGTTTTGCTATTTGATAAGGCTTTCTCCAAGCAGCTACTAAATAACCAAATAATACTTTATGCTTTTGTATAATCCTTTGTTTTGTAAATTAAAAAAAAAAACAACTCTATCTGTATAACCATTGAGACTAAAATCATCCTGTGCAGACAGTATACAGATGCTGAAACTGTAACACAGACTAAATGACTTGCTACAGTCATATGTCAAGGAAGTAGCTGAACTTGTCCCAAGAAGCGCCCAAGTCCCTAGATTGAGTCCCAGGCTCTATTCACAATATCAGGCCTTGATACTTTTATATCATGTCTTTATTCCCCAGACCATACTGCAGTCAATATTATTAGAAAAAAAAAAAATCCCACTTTGGTTCCATATTAGCTTTTCATGGCTGGCTGTGTCACAAATTACCACAAGAAAAGTTTTCTGATATTTTGAGCACTTATTCTCCTGGCAGAAATGTATACCATTGAGATACATTAGGACAGATCATGATTTAGGAAACATATGTAGCCATTTGAATTATACACAATGTTACTATGTCTGTCCCCCGGGATCCTTGAACTTCCTTTAGCTGTATCACACAATAAAAATTAGTTGCTGTTTGTTACAAATATAGAGGGTCATAGCGGAAATTTTCTACCTTGAATTTGAACGACTGATTTTGATTATTAATTTACTCTGCTAGGGATTTTCATAAGTATTCATGAGCATAACATTTAGTTTCTCTCAAAATATTTAGTATTTTCCTGAAATAAAATCAATAGTAACGAGATCCTTGAGAAAGTACGAAATAGGTTTTCTTGTGTGTTAACTAAAAAAGATTTGTTATAAATATACGTTAAGAGTTTACATGTTTTTTACATGTGAGATTTTCCTGAGAAATCTGTCATAGAATTAATGACATATTCTAGCAACTAAGTTTGAAATCTGAATTTTTTGTGTTTAAGATCTATTTTATTTATCAAGTTGTAAGTATTCTAGACAAAAAAAAAAAAAAAAAATCCTTCTGTGGATACCAGACCAAACAGAATTTTCTTCTGTTTGATATGGGCTGTCTTTCTACAATCTAATCAAAATATCTTGCTAAGCTCCTATGTTTCTAGTATTATAAAATATTTTCCACCTTTTCTTTAAATCTGGACTTTCAGGTATAAAGATTTGCTCAGGTACTTTTCATGAGAATTCTGTTAACATCATCGTTAGACAGACACTACATACTAAGTGCTATTCCTAGTGAGTTGTGAAATTTGTATTCTTATTGCCTTAGTTGTAATGTCAAAATGTTTCAAAGAATGTATTTTAAAGCAAAGTATTAACATCCAAAATGTTCAAGTGGTTGTACAGTGGTTGTACAAAAGCAAACAAAACCAGTAAAAAATATTATATAACTGTATTATAAAATGCAAGAGAAGAATAAGCATTTTGACAATTAAATACATATAAATCATCTAATTCTGTTATCTTATGTCACATATTTAGAGCATCTTTATCTTAGCATTCAATAGACACGATGGTCACTTAACTCTTAAAAGAAGTTATAGCTGAAATCCTGGCAAATGGAATTTGACATTAAATGATATTTTCCTCCTGATAGTCATTCAGCTCCGTAAATAATAACAGTAGTACAGACATTATTATTACCTTCTCATCTATGTCTTCTAAAGCTTTTCTGCATTCTTCCACCTGGGATTCAATCTCTGCAGGGACTATGGTGTACATTTCGGAATACTTGATTCGCAGTTTTTCCATAATATTCTCAAAAGTTAGTTTCCCTTTCTTAAGGATGCTTTGAAGCTCCTAAAAGCATTAAGAGAGTTGCAATACTCACGAGACTGGGGGAAAAGTTTAATTCTAAAAAGTGAAAGCAGCCTTCCAGCACATCCTTATGATTTAAAGGAGTGCAGTTTGCATGACAAAACCCCACTAGTGATACAAGCTGATTAAGCCCCAGAGACACTCAGTTTAGTCAGATGATGCTTTCTAATTTGTAAGAATTAAACTTGATATCTCTTCATAGTGTCACACCATTATCTAGAAAAGACATTACAACACCCCCTGCTTCTAAAGTACCTTTAGGATTTAATTGTATCTCCATTGCAGTCCTGATCTAAAAAGCTGCAAGCAGCAAAAAAAAAAAAAAAAAAGTTTCAAAGAAGTTTTTTGTTGTTGTTTTAACGTGTTGCTATTTCTACTTCTTCCTCCATTATCATCACAATGATTTAAGGCCACTAAAAGCCCCACACTTGGAGCAGAAGTGTCTACTTTCATGTAATTAGACAGCCCTGCAGAGCTCAACTGCTTTCAAAAGGGAAGGTTCCAGTTCCATACAAAGAATGTAGGTTTTTAGGAGATAAAAGAAACCTGAACAAATAGTCTATTGGTTGTGGCCTAGAAACCAAATCTGATCTACCTTCTCCTGCAGTAATTATAAAGGAGAAACTCATTTGTATGGGAAAGTTTCCCAAAGATCAAGTGGAAAAATACTTCTTGACTTGACTGTGGCTTTTTTGTTGTTTGTTTTGTTTTTACAGTAGCTGTTCAGTAGCATTATTTGTGTTCATGGATTGAGTCACTGTACTGAAGAATGATTACAATTTTAAATGACTCTGTAATGTGTCATTGTTTTCCTTTTCTTAATCCTCAGCAGAGGACAAATCTAGAGAGAGAAAGTTAGAGAACAATGCCATTCAAAGATGGGGTTTAATAAGTAAGTGTCATCCCGTTTTATCTACACCTAGTCCAGGAGTACAGGCTTTCATTCAGAGGTACACTTAGAAGGCTTCCCCATGAAGACTGCTTCTTTACTTTCCAATATAATAACCAAAAGTTCTGTTTAGACAGCATGTGACTTTTTTTTTTTTGAGATGGAGCCAGGCTGGATTGCAGCGGCACGATCTCGGCTTACTACAACCACCACCTACTGGGTCCAAGTGATTCTCCTGCCTCAGCATCCCAGTAGCTGGGATTATAGGCACACGCTACCATGCCTGGCTAATTTTTGTATTTTTAGTAGAGACGGAGTTTCCCCATGTTGGCCAGGCTGGTCTTGACCTCCTGACCCCAAGTGATCTGCCTGCCTGGACCTCTCAAAGTGCTGGGATTATAGGTGTGAGCCACCATGTCCGGCCAACACGTGACTTTTGAATAAACTTCCAAACATACTTTTGGGCTGTCACTATTGGACTGGAATGAAAGAGGAGATTCTTCTGAAGAAATGAGATTCCAGATGACCTGTAGGGTGTACATAGACCCTGTCAGAGACAAGGCGCCATGTCCTACTAAAGGAGTAATGTAACATACTACTTAAGAGTGGTCTGAGGCCCTTGTTCACCAAACACACTGGAAACATAGTTGAAAGAAGGCTGCTTGGTCCAGACTGGCCTACCTTCCAGCCTTGTTTCAACTCTGTTCTCTGCTCTCCAGCCACACTGATCTTCTCCCTTGGTTCTGCCCATACCATGCCACAGGGCCTTTGCCTATGCCTCTCTCTCTCTCCCCAGACCGCTCCCCCAAACCCAGCCACTGAGTTATCTCTACCCCAAGGACTTTGGATACAAGACTGTGGGCCTGTACCTGCCACATTCACTAATTCATTCCTCACTTACCTCAAATTGTTCTGACTTTTCTGGGTGATCCTGGAATGCCATATTTTGGAATGAAGTTGTGGTCTGTTGAAAGAAATTCTTCAAAGCAATTATCTCTTTTGTGAAGGAATGTCTTTCTTGGATTTCAGTCTGCACCAATTCTTTATTTTTCTGAACTTTCTGAAGAAGCCTAAAAGAGAACGTCAAAATATAATTGTTTCTTTATCCTGCTCTTCTATGAATAAAATGAAACAGTTTTATTGCAACAATTAATGAAATGCCTGAATAGCTACTAAAGGATGGTTATTTCCTCTAAGAAAAAAAGTAACAATTTTCAATAATGGATGTACCACATATAAAAACAGGTACAAAATCTACCACTTAATCAAAAACCTCTCCAAATCTTTCGCCTCAAATACTCTCTTTTCACACTTTACACTGTAACTGACATTTCTGTCCTCTCTTTTTCTCCACGTAATCCTTGAGCTCACATGAAAATGACTTAGAGGTGTGAATGGAATCACAGGTGGGCTCTTGGGGACAGACAATCCCACTGGGCTTCTTCTCTTAAGCTGACCCATTTTGCTATGGATGCAGCAAATATCAGAAGAGGCACTGAAGTGGGTAAAATCTTTCCTGAGGGTTATTTGGTAAGTATCTATGATATTGTGATATAATAAATATATACTTGATCTCTGCTGTAGTTCCTGAGACAGAGCTCTTAATACCCTTGTAGATAGGAGTGCTAGCTAGGAGAGTCTTTTGTTCTAATACTTGATTTTTGACCAGTTCCTGACACAGAGCTCCTAAGCCCTTTGTAATTTCCTGAGTGATAGGAGCATCTTTAGTTCTAAGAAGGCAACTCTAGGTGGGATCCTGAGTAGCCTCAGGATGAGGGCTGGTTGCCAGGGGAACCAACTATGTGATTAAAAGGTTGGAACTTTCAGTACCACCCCTACCTCCAACACACACCCCCAACCTCTGGGGGAGGGGACAGAAGCTGAAGGTTGAGTTGATCGCCAATGGCCAATTACATAATCAATCATGACTACATAATGAAGTCTCCATAAAAAAACCCAAAAGACAGGGCTCAGAGAGCTTCTGGATTGCTGAAAGCCTGGGGGTTCCACCACCTAGAGAGAGCAGGGAAGCCCCAGGCCCCTTCCTATACCATGCCTTAGGCACCTCTTCCATCTGGCTGTTTATCTGTATCCTTCATTATATCCTTTATTAATAAACTGGTAAACATGAGTAAAGTGTTTTCTTGAGTTCTGTGAGCCACTCTAGCAAATTAATTGAACCCAAGAAAGGTATCAAAGGATCCCTTGATTTATAGCCTATCAGCCAGAAGTGTACCAGCGGGGCGCAGTGGCTCACGCCTGTAATCCCAGCACTGTGGGAGGCCGAGGCGGGCAGATGACCTGAAGTCAGGCGTTCGAGACCACCCTGGGCAACATGGTGAAACCCCTCCTCTACTAAAAATACAAAGAATTAGCCGGGTGTGGTGGCACATGCGTGTAATCCCAGCTACTCAGGAGGCTGAGGCAGGAGAATCGCTTGAACTCAGGAAGCCGAGTTTGCAGTGAGCCGAGATCATGCTATTGTACTCCAGCCTAGGCGACAGAGCAAGACTCTGTCTCAAAAAAAAAAAAAAGGAGAAGTATAGGTAGCAACCTACTACTGATGATTGGCATCTGAAGTAGAGGTCCTCTTGTGGGATGGATTGAGCCCCCAGCCTGTGTGATCTGATGCTGTCTCCGGGTGGATAGTGTGAGAAATGAATTGGTGTCTGCTGGAGAACTGCCTGATGTGTGGGGAACCCCCATAACCAACATGGTGTCAGAAGTGCTTTGTTGCATGGTGTGTAAGGGTAGAGAGAAAAAACAAGTTTGCTTTTTCTTCAGAGCACCTCTAGCCATAAAACTACTATATTCTTTGACCCAGTGATTCTACTTCTCACTATCTTTCTCAATGAATTAGTCACAGATGAAAATATAGATTCTGGCATAAGAATATTCACTGCAGTGTTGTTATGAAAATTAAAAAAAAGTAATTTAAAGATTCCTTATTAGGGGCTTGGTTTAACACATTATGGCATATCTTCATGGTAGAATATTATACAGCTAGTTACATTTTTTATTTTTATTTTTTGAGATGGACGTTTCAGGCTGGAGTGCAATGGCATGATCTCAGCTCACTGCAACCTCTACCTCTTGGGTTCAAGTGATTCTCTTCCCTCAGCCTCCTGAGTAGCTGGGATTATAGGCGTGCGCCACCATGCCCGGCTAATTTTTTGTATTTTTAGTAGAGACGGGGTTTTACCATGTTGACCAGGCCAGTCTCGAACTCCTGACCTCAGGTGATCCATCCACCTTGGCCTCCCAAAGTGCTGGGATTACAGGCGTGAGCCACCATGCCCGGCCACAGCTAGTTACATTTTAAAAGAACATTTAATGGCATAGGAAGACAAACATGATTTGCTGGTAAATTACTCAGCAGAATACAAAACAGTACAAGTATTTTGATCTCTATTTATTTAAAAACAAAATCATAGTAAAAAAGGAGAAAAAATGATTGGCAGTGGTTATTGCTGAGTGGTGACATTAAGGTAGATTTTTATATTAATTTTTGTAATTTTCACATTTTCTGAATTTCCTTTTTTTTGAGACAGAGTCTCACTCTGTCACCCAGGCTGGAGTGCAGTGGCGCGATCTCGGCTCACTGCAAGCTCTGCCTTCTGGGTTCACGCCATTCTCCTGCCTCAGCCTCCCGAGTAGCTGGGACTACAAGCTCCTGCCACCACACCCGGCTGATTTTTTGTATTTTTAGTAGAGACGGGGTTTCACCACGTTAGCCAGGATGGTCTTGATCTCCTGACCTCGTGATCTGCCCGCCTCAGCCTCCCAAAGTGCTGGGATTACAGGAGTGAGCCACCGCGCTCGGCCTGAATTTCCTATAATGAATATGCATTACTAAACTAGAAAAAGGGCAAAAACAAACAAACAAACAAAAAACCCACAAATGATAAAAAAGGAAATTGGAAGGACATTCACCCTCATTAATACCAGGATGGAAAATGTGTGCTTAATTATAGTTACTAATCTGTTCCATCCCTTTTTATACCTATCAGTGTTGTCTCACCTCAATTCTATTGTATCATTTGCCATTATTCTATACTTTTAGATTTTCTAAATTTTGAGCCATAATTGTCAAGCACACGTCCTTAATAGTTTTTCATAAATCTTACTTGTTGCATCGTTCTTTCATAGAAGTAATTTCTTGAAATGCTGGAACAGTTTCCACAGCCCCTGAGCTTTCAGGAACATTCTGGATACTTCTGATGCGCTGAAGAAGTAGAGTCAGTAACAGCTGTTGCTTCTCCACGTTCTCTCCATATTGGCATAAACAGTCTAGCAGCTCAGAGAGTTCCTCTGTGGTGGCTGCCTCTTTTGTTTTGGAAATTTCAGGGAGTTCTTCCTGAAGATTATCTAAAATAATTGCCTCTCGTTCAATCTAATTCAAAAAACAAAAAGAACTAAAATAAGTAAAATATACAATTACATTTCAGGACCTGAAGTAGACATAATTTTTGTATGCTCTCTCTTCAAAGGGTTCCTAGTGCCATATCCTAGTCTGTTTTCCTATAGCTGGGAATATTAATCCTCTACTATCAGAATCCCATAATGCCCAGCTATTGCTCATGTAGATGTGTGACTGAAATGGAGTACTGCTGTGGTGGGCTGAAGGAAATGCTGTTGAATATCTTCATAAATAATGTATTTCTCCTTCAGATTTCAGATGGATAAAGCAACATTTCTCCTGAGATAAGCACATGAGCTCCACCAAACTGCTTTCACTAAGTATAAGAGGTTGGGCAACTATTGGATATGGAAAATTTTTCTGCTGGTCTCTTTTCTTTCACTTCCAATCCCTGTATGCTAAAAAAGTAAGGCCAGCAGGTTCTCATTACCCTGACACACAACAAAGGTAAAGCAGCCAGAATTACCAAACCAGTGAAGTATTTATCAATAGTGGTGTACACAGAACTCAGAAATACATAACCTATTACATCACATATCTAGAAACTGGGAGTTCCACCAGCCCTGAACTCAACTAAGATGTAGAAAAAAGTCTCAAAGGCCCCTGAATCAGGTCATTCTTACGCCTCCCCTCGAATCCCCTGGCCCACCCCTCGGCTGCAGTACTCATTTATCAAATCCTGCCTCAGTGATGGTTAACTCTCCTGCTCCACGTTCAAACTCATTCATGGATCTTGCAGTCATGACATTACAGGATATCACTCCAGTCATCTATGTTTATGATATCATGCTAACTGAAATGGTGAGGACCTGAATGTCCAGTCAGACATGCCAGAGGCTGAGAAACAAAGCCTGTGAAAATTCAGGAGCCCCAGTATCAGGGGTCTAGTGGCCTGGGGCATGCCAGGACTTCTCCTCTAAGATAAAGGTCAAGTTGTTCAATCTTACAACTCTACCACTAAAAAAGAGACACAGCACTGAACGGACCTTTTGGGGTCTAGGAGGCAGTATATGCTATCCTTGGGATTACTGCTCAGATGCATTTATCAGAATGCTGCCAATGTCGAGAGGGGCCTGGGGAAAAAGCACCGCAGCAGGGTTGGGCTGTGGTATAAGCTGCCCTGCTGTTTGGGCTGTATGACCCAGTTGGGTACCCAATAACTAGAATACACGGATGCAGATGTAGACTGGCCACTGTCCAAGAGACCTAGGTGTGCGCAATGGGTGCTTCTCATCACCTCAAACCTAAATTCAGTTGAATTAGAAGTCCTAGTTCTTTGCCAGACAGCTACACTTACACCAGGAAATGAGATAAGGGTTTCCATTGTATCATTTTCTGTCCCCCTGCTGGAAACTAGCATGCAAATAAAGAAATTGTTACATAGATGGGGGAATTGTACATCTAGGGTTTCCAATGTGCATCAGGGTTGAAAAAACTGTGTCTGTAATCCAGGATTTAATGGGGCACCTCTTGGTGCTTACACACCAGAAACTGGCAGATTTGACTTGATAATAACCAGAAATGGGCAGCTGTAGCAAGCACAATCCAGTAAGAGTAAAAAGAATAAAGGCTCAGACCTTTCCTGTTTCGGCTCCCCTCATCTACCACTCCTGTTCCCTGGGATCACTTTCCAAAATAAACTACCATTTGCAAGCCTCAGTCCCAAGCTCTGGTGTCCACTGTGAAGTTGGTAAGTGATTGAGAAGGGGGAATACAAGAGGGAGAACAATCTCTTTTTTTTTTTTTTTTTTTTTTTGAGACGGAGTCTCTCTCTGTCACCCAGGCTGGAGTGCAGTGGCATGATCTCGGCTCACTGTAACCTCCCACGCCCTAGGTTCAAGCAATCCTCTGCCTCAGCCTCCCGAGCAGCTGGGATTACAGGCACCTGCCACCATGCCTGGCTATTTTTTTTGTATTTTTAGTAGAGACAGGGTTTCACCATCTTGGCCAGGCTGATCTTGAACTCCTGACCTCGTGATCCACCTGTCTAGGCCACCCAAAGTGCTGGGATTACAGGCGTGAGCCACTGCTCCTGGCCACAATTTTTATTAGGACAATAATTTTACCCCAAAGCCAGGCAATTCTTCAACTTGGGAATGAATAAACAAACTGAATTCACCCACCCAAAGCAATACTACTCAGGAATAAAGAGAAATGAACTACTAATACAAGCAGCAGCAAGAATTTCAAGTGCATTATGCTTAGTGAAAAAAAGTAAACTCAAAAGGCCACAAACTGTAAGGAGTCCATGGATATGACATTCTGGAAATGGAAATACTATGAGAACAGAAACAGATTAATGGTTCCAGGGGCTGGAGGTTATGGAAGGCACTGACCACAAAGAGGAACGAGGGAAACTTCTAGGGTGACAGAATTGTCTTAAACCTTGATTTTGCTGGTGATCATGTGACCGTGTGCACTTGTCAGAACAACATATTTTACACTAAAAAGTGTGAAGACAGCCCTAGCATCAGTAAAATAGTTGCCAAAAAGCCTGTGCATTCACTTTTCCACCTAGAAGAGGCTTTGCAATACCTTGATGATTTTCCTTAGACATGGGATCCTAATCAAATTGGTTATAAAACTTTCAGGTTCACGGTCAATTGTAAAGTCCGGTCTAGAGAGGGAGAAGGACCCATAGTTGCATCATAAGCAAATCCAATGAAGGAGACCAAAAAACCCAGAACCAGCAGAAAAGAGACCCAACAAAGAAATGACTGTTGGTGCAAGTGGAAGAAGCCGGCCTCACATCTCCAATTATCTTTGACAATGTGACGTTCTTCTAGCACATTATGATCATTGAAGCATAAAATGATGATTCTGAATAACACAAGTGAATAGTTATAGTAAAGAGATTCTGTTTAAGAAAACAGGGAGGTAAAATTTTAGGGGGACACAAGTTCTATCAAAATTTAAATTTAGTTTTTAATTTGTAAACTTACAAACAGGCATTTAATTTTTAAAAAAGTCTGCTAATATAAACTTTATTTCATAAACACTGGATTATTATGTTACTATAGATGACAGGTTTAAAGCAGAAATTCACTTTGTCATATATAAAAGCACCAATCATGCTAACAGAAGCTTACATGTATGGGCTGTTAGATGATATACTTTTTATTGAATGGATAAAAGCTACACTAAAATCTTATATCAATTTGATGTATGTAAATATCATGTAAGTTGACAGATTAATGACTAAGCACCAGCGTCTAAGTTTGAATCCTCTTCTACCCCTTGTGAATTTGAGCAAGTTACTCAGTCTCACTGTGTCTCACTTTCCTCATCTACAAAGTAAGGATAATAAAAATATCCTCACAGAATTCTTGAATAGTGCTCTGAACTATCCTGTCACACAATAATTGCTCAATTTAGTAGTTGTTTTTATTATTGTTATTACAGGGAAGCATTTTTTTTTTGCTTGTGCTACTCTTTGAAAAATATTTTGTTAGCAGATTTTGTCAAATGCTTATGTGAATAATTAGAAAGTTCTATATGAATGGAGTCTGAATTAATAACACATAATTGTAAATGGGTATATAGCAATAATGTGATAAAATAAAAGGAGCAAAATCTTAGAATTAGCCCAGACCTGAATTTGAATAAGAGATGTCCCTCAACAAATATTTACTAAGTGCCCACTAAGCGCAGGGCCCTAGCCAGGTTCCAAGGTTACAGCAGTGAGCAGGACAGCCCCAGCCCCAGCCTACAGGGGTTTACAGCTTAATCAATCTCTACCTGGGGACCTTGTGCCACTACTCAATCTATCAGTGCTTCAGTTTCCCCATCGATAAAATGGTGATAAAATTTACTTCCCAGGGACAATGCAAAGATTCAGTGAGAACAGGTGTGAACTGCCTTCTCAGCACAGCATAGTAACTCAATAAATGGTACCACTATGGACAGGCAAGCACTGGTGCCAGCAGCCCCAACCAAAAGTGTAATTTACAAAGTTTATTTTAACATTTCAAGAGACTATTCACTAGTCAGGCCTCACCAGGACCACTGACATAAAATTCATTTTTAAGGATAATAGTTATAAGCAAGATAATACAATAGTGCTAAGCATTTCATCCTAAGATAATTTTACGTTGTGTTTTTGTTTGTTTGTTTTTGAGACAGTGTCTCACTCTGTTGCCCAGGCTGGAATGCTAGAATACAGTGGCATGATCATGGCTCACTGCAGTCTTGACCTCTCATCAAGAGATCCTCCCACCTCAGCCTCCCAAGAAGCTGGGACTACAGGCATGTGCCACCATGCCCAGATTTTTTTTTATTTTTTGTAGAGATGGGGTTCACTCCATTGCCTGGTCTGTTCTAGAACTCCTGGGCTCAAGCGATTCTCCTGTCTCAGCCTCCCAAAGTGCTGGGATTACATAGGTGAACCACTGCACCCGGCTATCTTTAACTTTCTAAATTAATTTTCTTTCTAAATATAGTTCATACCTAAATCCTGAACCAAGGTTAAATTAACATTTGTGATTGATATATATCATGCAGGTTTTGAGACTATTTTCAAAAAGAACATCATAACCTCATATATTTTTAGGTCCACATTTAACAATTACAGTTAATTTCCATAGTTGAAAATTATAGATAATTTCAAAATTATTTGGTGATTACACATATTACCTAATTCTAAACCTTTAGTATAATGTAGAGACAGTTATTTCTGAGAGGGGTTATTTTCACAATAAAGATTGTAAAACTCAAACCAGCTAGTAGTCACTTATTAATAAGAATTATCTGCTATCAATAAAGGCACTACTATAAAATAATCTGAATAAGTTCTTGCAGGTTATCTTAATAAGGCCTGACATCTATAAACATTTATGTATCATGTATAAGTGATGTGCACAAATGGTATAGGCTAAGGACTCGTTTTATAGAAAAACAAGGTGAAAGTAATAAAACAATTTAAATAACATGTTAGAAACTACATGGTTTGTTGAAAATGAAGCACTCACTTCTTCACTGACAAATTTCCATTCCTGCTTCAGTTCTTCGCACCACATCTCCCACTCTTTAGCAGCTTCCAGCAAACTCAGCCATTTCTCCCACAGAGCCGACACAATCTTGAGCAAACATATGCCATCATTTTCTGTGCACCTGAGTCTCAAGAGTCTAAGGATCTGTCGTAGTTTCATTAACTCTTCTTTGGTTGATATAAGATTTGACACCAAGGCCTTAAGAAAGAAAAGAAAAAAAATAAGAGGGACATACTATTATGGTTTTCCTGAAACTTACTAACTCTTTTAAATCCTGAACAATTAATTATTTCAATCTTCCATAAGTATTGCATGATCCACCTCTTATCCTTTTAGAAGTCAATATAGACCAGATGAGAATTATCTATGTATTATTGTATTCTGCATGAATTTGGGATTACAGGGACAAATAATGACCCATAAACCATTTTTTTCCAAGAAAGAACATACTTTCAAAAGCAAATATTTGCCAGACGCAGTGGCTCATGCCTGTGATCCCAGCACTTTGGGAGGCCAAGGTGGGTGGATCATGAGATCAGGAGATCGAGACCATCCTGGCCAACATGTTGAAACCCTATCTCTATTAAAAACACAAAATTTAGCTGGGCGTGGTGGCATGCGCCTGTAGTCCCAGCTACTCAGGAGGCTGAAGCAGGAGAATTGACTGAACCTGGGAGGCACAGGTTGCAGGGTTGCAGTGAGCTGAAATTGTGCCACTCACTGCACTCCAGCCTGGGCAACAGAGTGAGACTCCGTATAAAAAAAAAAAAAAAAAAGTCTATAAGTGGCTGGGCACAGTGGCTCATGCAGCACTTTGGGAGACTGAGGCAGGAGGATTGCTTGAGGCTAGGAATTCAAGACATAGCAAGGCAACATAGCAAGACCCTGTCTCTACAAAAAATTAAAAAATTAACCAGGCATGGTGGTGTATGCCTGTAGCCCCAGCTACTCAGCGGGCTGGGATGGGAGGATCCCTTGAGGCCAGGAGCTCAAGGCTGTGATAAGCCATGATTGCACCATTGTACTCCAGCCTGGGTGACAGAACAAGACCCTGTCTTATTTAAAAAAAAAAAAAAAAAAAAAAAAATCTAAAAGTACAACAGCCCTCATTATCTGGGTTTCTCCTTTCAAGGTTTCAGTTACTTGTGATTAACAACGGTCCAAAAATACTAAAAAATTCCAGAAGGAAAAAATGTGTAAGATTTATTTGTATAAAATGTATGTTTTATTTGTATATAAATATATAAGTGCTATTCTGACTAGTGTGATGAAATCTCAAGCCATCTCTCTCCATCCCACCTGGGATACGAATCTTCCCTTTGTCCAGCACATCATGCTGTATATGTTCCCCACCTACGCGTCATTTGGTAGCCTTCTTGGTGATCAGATCAACTGTTGTGGTATCAAATGCTTGTGCTCCAGATGAATAGTAGCCCAACGCTACCTCACCATGGCTATATCATTTCATTTCATCACTTCATTTCATTACCTCACTTCATTTCATCACCTCACTTCATTTCATCACCCAGGCATTGTATAGTCTCATGTCATTACAAGAAGGGTGAAAACAGTACAATGACATATTTTGAGAGAAAGAGACCACATTCACCCAACTTTTATTACAGCATATTGTTATAATTTCTCTGTTATTGTTGTTGACCTCTGACTGCACTTTAATTTATAAATTAAACTTTATCATAGGCGTGTACAGGAAAAAAATTATATACATAGAGTTCAGTGTTATTCACAGTCTCAAGCATCCACTGGGTGTCTTGGAACATATCCCCTGTGGATAAAGGGGGACTACTGTACATTTTGTTATTTTTAAGTCTCACATTTTACTAAGTAGTTCCTTTGCACAATACTTCCTATATCAACCACCAACACAATATTGAAAGGTTTTTCTTGGTTCGCTTTTGTTTTTGGGGAATGTTAACTACAGATGATTTAGAAAGTCCTCATCCAAATCCTAATAACATAATACCACAGATTCTAACAGATAAAAATAAGCAAAAGCTCAAATTGCTTTGTAACAGTCTAAGAAGTAACCAGAATTCAGAGCTTATGACAGTTGCAGTAAGCGATCAGTGGACAACAAGGCTCTGTCACTGATCCAGCAGTATCCCTCAAAGTCACATGAGAGGTGATGCTTTAGAAAAGCCATCAGTGAGGACAGGATGCTATTGGGGGATGACTGTCTGTGAACCTGATTAATTAAATCTCTCAGTACCACTGCTTCATTTCCTTCCTTCTGGCTTTTTAAGCTTCAATATATTACATAAGGCCAGGCGCAGTGGCTCGCGCCTATAATCCCAGCACTTTGAAAGGCCGAGGCTGGAGGATGGCTTGAAGTCAGGAGTTCAAGAGCAGCCTGGTCAACATTGTGAAACCCCGTCTCTACTAAAAATACAAAAATCAGCTGGGCATGGTGGCGGGCACTGTAATCCCAGCTACTCAGGAGGCCGAGGCAGGAGAATCAAATCACTTGAAGCCGGGAGGTAGAAGCTGCAGTGAGCCAAGACTGCATGACTGCACTCCAGCCTGGGCAAGACTGTGTCTCAAATATATATAAAACATTACTCTCTGGCTTTCGATTTGAGGAATATTCATGGATATTTAACTCACTGTGAAGATTTCTACGCGTCTTAACAGGACCACATTCTCTGCTGCCTCTGCCAGTTTGTTCTGCAATTTTTTGCACACAGACTTACTGGCTAATTGCCAATACTATTACCTTGCTCTGTTCCAAGCGCTCTAAAGCTTCTCTGTAAGACAGTGGCAACGAGGACATGGACTGTCCAAGAACTGTCTCCATTTTGCTGAGGTTAGTGTAAATATCCTCTTCCATTTTTCTATAGCATTTGTAATTCTCAAGATACCTAGTGAGTCACAGTTAGAAAAAAAGTGGTATTAAATTTTATTTAACACAATAAATTCAAAATTTCCCAGAATAAATATTCCACACTTAATTTTTAAGAAAAGATATGACAACTTTCGTTTTTGCTAGGCAATGCATTTTAAAATGTTTTCCAAGAAGTTTTTATTCCCAAAGGGACCTGCATATGGGTTTAAATGCAAACTTGAAAAGGAAGCAAGGGCCGTCCTCTAAAATGAAGATTTTTTTTTTTTAAAGTTCACTTCAGTAAAATGAAAACTGCATTCTCAAACACACTGATGAGCTGTAAATTGGTACAATTCTTGTGGAAAACCACTTAGTCTTAAAACTATTCCCATCTTTGACCCATTAATGCAGCTTCTGCAATTTACCTTAAGAACTGTATCCTAAACATATAGAGCTTATCCTAAATCTTTTGCACAGTAAAACATCTTTACTCACTAGACTATTAATTAAAACATCACACATTGGAATACCCTTATCTAACAAAGGTATGATTAAGAAATTAAAACAATTCATCGTATACAATATTATAGAGTAATTACATTACTTTTAGAAAGTATTTGTTACAATCAAGAAAAGAACTGTTATAAAATTTTAAAATAAAGCTGGATATTTGATATTTTATATATAGCATATATATTTTAAAACACTAAAATTATGCATACAAAAACAGACACAGCCTAAATCCCCCATTGAATGTAACTAAAAACTCTATATCAAATTATTCTTAAAAAACAACTCTTAAAACGCATGAATAAATTGACAAGGAATTAGGGAGTCAAACTGTAAAATGGAAATATACAGAAATAGGCAAAGTTGTAGGACCAGTTTTTTGCCTTGAGGGCACTTGAGTTTCAATTTTCTTTGATTCCTACTGAAAGGTGGGGGACAGACCATAAAGCTGGGAGCCAATCCCAGGATGGGTGTCTAATAGAAAACTCCCTCTGCAAGAATATTTGTAACACATATAACTATAAAGGACCACTCTCTAAAATATAGAATTCCTAGAAATCAGTAAGAAAAAACCACCAATAAAATTGGGTTAAGGCTTAAATAAGCATTTTACAGAAGAGAAAACATGAATGACCAATAAGCATTCAAAAAAAGAGATCAAACTAATTAGCAGTAACAGAAGTGCAAATTAAAACCACGATGAAATACCTCTTCTTACTCATCAGATTGGCAAAAATTGAGTCTCACAATATCAAATGTTGGCAAGGATATGGGACAATTGGAATACTTATATGCTGCTGGTTTGAGTGGAAATTGGCAAAATCATTTGGCATTAAAAATGTAAGATGTACATAACCTTTTGTTCTGAATGATCACACTCCTAGATATTTACCCAAGGGAAGTTATTACACTTAAAAATTTTCCCAAGTAGCACTGTTTCTGAATGCAAAAACTGGGAGCAATCCAAATGTCCATCAATAGCTAAGTAAATAAATTTTACTAAGAACATGAATAAACCTCAGAGTCATAATGATGGGTTTGAAAAAATGAAGTGAGGTATGCAGGAGGAGCAAGATGGCTGAATAGAAGCCTCTACTGATCATCCTCCCCACAGGAACACCGAATTTGACACCTATCTCCATACAAAAGCAACTTCATAAAAACCAAAAATTACGAGAGCAATCACAGTAACTAGTTTTTAGTTCATATCTCTGAAAGAGGCATGGAAGAGGATAAAAAAGGCAGTCTTGAATTGCTGATGCCACTCCTCACCCATCCCCCAGCAGCAGCAGCATGGCAGGGAGAAAGAATCCGTGCACGTGGGGGAGGGAAAGCGCAGCAACTGGGGAGCTTTGCATTGGAATGCAGTGCTGCCAACATAGGACAAAACTCAGCCAGCACCCATGAAGCATTTAGACTAGCCCTAGCCAGAGGGCAACTGCCCATCCCAGTGGTTGAAACTAGAATTGCAGCAAGCCTCGCCACCTTGGGCTAAAGTACTCTGGGGTTCTAAATAAACTTGAAAGGTTGTCGAGACCACAGAGACTGCAACTCCTAGGTAAGTCCTAGTGCTGTGCTACAATCAGAGCCAGTGGACTTGTTGGGGCATGTGACCAAGTGAGACACCAGCCAAGGCAGCTAAGGGAGTCCTTGGAATTACCCCTCCTCCAACCTCATGAACCACAGCTCACAGTTCCAAAAGAGACCCCTTCTTTCTACTTGAGGAGAGGGGAGGGAAGAGTAAAGAGGACTTTGCCTTGCAACTTGGATACCAGCTAAGTAGGACTGGGTACTGGGCAGAGTCATGAGGCCCCCATTCCAGGCCCTAGCTCCTAGGTGACATTTCCAGACACACCCTGGGCCAGAAGGGAACCCACTTCCTCGAAGGGAAGGACCCAGCCCTGGCAGGATTCATTGCCTGCTGACTAAAGAGCCCTAGGGCCCTGAATAATCAACAGTGGCAACCAGGTAGTACACACTGTGGGCCTTGGGTGAGACTGAGACATGCTGGCTTCAGGTGGGACTCAGCACATTCACAGCTGTGGTGGCTACCAGGAGAGGCCATTTCTGCTTCAGAAAGCAGAGGAAAGAGTAAAGGAGACTGTCTTGAGCTTAGGTACCAGCTAAGCCACAGTGGGGAAGAGTACTAAGTGAGCTCTTGGCGTCTAGGTATTAGCTCTTGTACAGTATCTCTGGACCCACCCTGGGCCAGAGGAGCGAGCCCACTGTCCTGAATGGTGAGTCTCAGGCCTGGCAGCATTCACCACAAGCCGACTGAAGACCCCTTGAGCCTTTAGTGAACATGAGTAGTACCCTGGCAGTACTTTCTGTGGGCCTGTAGTGGTGGTGGACATGGGGAAAGGGGAGACAAGATGTGAAGGACTCTGTCTTGTGGTTTGGGTGCCAGCTCAGCCACAGTAGCACACAGCACCAGGTAGATTCCTAAGGTTTCCAACTCTAGGCAATGGCTCCCAGACAGCATATCTGAACTCACCTAGGTGCGGGGCAACTCGCCACCCTTAAGGGAAGGACACAAGCCTGGCTGGCTTCATCTCCTGTTGATTGTAGAGCCCAAGGGCCTTGAGCAAACGTAGGCAATAGCCAGATACTGTTTACAGAGGGCCTTGGGCAAGGCCCAGTGCTGATGCTGTGCTGACTTCAGGTCTGATTCAGTACACTCTCTGTAGTGGTTGCCACAAGGGTGCTTGTGTCACCCCTACCCCAGCTCTAGGCAGCTCAACACAGAGATTCTGTTTGTTTGGGAGAAAGTGAGGGAAAACAACAAGAGTCTCTGCCTCTTAATCCAGAGAATTACTCCAGATCTTATACAAGACCACCAAGGTGGTAGCTCTATGACTCTGCAAAAACCACAACATTATTAGGCTTGGGGTATCCTGTAAGCAGATATGACTACCGCGACCAAAAACTTAGATCGCAACACTCAAGTCTCTTAGAATACCTGGAAAGCCTGCCCAAGAAGGACAGGTACAAGCAATCCCAGATTGTGACTTAAATAAATACCTGACACTTCAATGCCCAGACACTGACAAACATCCACAAGCATCAAGACCATCCATGAAAACATGACTTCACCAAACAAACTAAATAAGTCACCAGGAACCAATTTCAGAGAGAGAAATATGTGACCTTTCAGACAGAGAATTCAAAATAGCTGTTTTGAGGAAAATCAAAGAAATTCAAGATAACAGAGAAGGAATTAAAAATCCTATCAGATACGTTTAACAACGTGATTGAAATAATTAGAAAGAATCAAGTAGAAATGCTGGGGTTGAAAACTGCAATGGACATACTGAGGAATGCATCAGAGTCTCTTACCAGCAGAATTGATCAAGCAGAAGAAAGAATTACTAAGCTTGAAGACAAGCAATTTGAAAATACACAGTCAGAGGAGATAAAAGAAAAAAGAATAGAAAAAAATAAAGCATGCCTACAAAATCTAGAAAATAGCCTCAAAAAGGTAAATCTAAGAGTTATTAGGCTGGATGTGGTGGCTCACACTTGTAATCCCAACACTTTGGGTGGCAGAGGAGGGCGGATTACTTGAGGTCAGGAATTCGAGACCAGCCTGGCCGACATGGGGAAACCCTGTCTCTACTAAAAAATACAAAATATTAGCCAGTGTGGTGGCTTGTGCCTGTAATCTCAGTTACCTGGGAGGCTGAGGCAAGAGAATTGCTTGAACCTGGGAGGTTGCAGTGAGCAAGACTGTGCCACTGCACTCCAGCTTGGGTGACAGAGTGAGATTCTGTCTCAAAAAAGAAAAAAAGAGTTATTGGCCTTAAAGAGGAGGTAGAGGGAGAGATAATGGGTCGAAAGTTTACTCAAAGAGTTTACTCAAAGAGATCATAACAGAGAACTTCCCAAACCTATAGAAAGATACCAATAAACGGTTCCGGGAAAACTGGATTATCTATCTATATCTTCATCCAGAAAAATGAAACTAGACCCCCTATCTCTCATCATATACAAAACTCAAATCAAAATGGATTAAAGATTTAAATCTAAGACCTATGAAACTACTAAAAGAAAACATTGGGGAAAACTCTCTAGGACACCAGACTGGGCAAAGATTTCTTTGGTAATAATACCCCATAGGCACAGACAACCAAAGTAAAAATTTACAAATGGGATAGCATCAAGTTAAAAAGCTTTTGCACAGCAAAGGAAATAATCAACAAAGTGAAGAGACAACCCACAGAATGAGAGAAAATATTTGCAAGCTACCCATCTGACAAGGGATTAATAACCAGAATGTATAGGGAGCTCAAATAACTCTATAGGAAAAAAATTAATAATCCAATTAAAAATGGGCAAAAGATCTGAATAGACATTTCTCAAAAGAAGACATACAAATGGCAAACAGATATGAAGAGGTGTTCAGCATCACTGACCATCAGAGAAATGCAAATCAAAACTACAATGAGACATCATCTCATCCAGTTAAAATGGCTTTTAGCCAAAAGACAGGCAATAATAAATGCTGGCAAGGATGTGGAGAAAACAGCATCTTCATATGCTGTTGGTGGTAATGCAAATTAGTACAACCACTATGGAGAACTGTTTGGAGGGTCCTCAAAAAAACTAAAAATAGAGCTACCATATGATCCCGGAATCCCACTGCTGTGCATATACCCAAAAGAAATCAGTATATTGAAGAGATAGCTGCACTCCCATGTTTATTGAAGTATTATTCACAATAGTCAAGATTTGGAAGCAAGCCAAGTGTCCATCAACAGATGAGTGGATGAAGAAAATGTGGTATATACACACAAAGGAGTATTATTTAGCCATTAAAAAAAAATGAAATCCTGTCATTTGCAACAACATAAATGGAACTGGAGGTCATTATGTTAAGTGAAATAAGCCAGGCACAGAAAGACAAACATCACATATTCCCACTTATTGGTGGGATCTAATAATCAAAACAATTGAATTCATGAACATAGAGAGTAGTAGGATGGTTACCAGAGACTGGGAAGAGTAGTGGGGGAGGTGGAAGGGAGATGGTAAATGGGTACAAAATAATAGAAAGAATGAATAAGATCTAGTATTGATAGCACCACAGAGTGACTACGTTCAATAATAATTTAACTGTACATTTAAAAATAACTAAGAGTACAGTTGGATTGTTTGTAACACAAAAGATAAATGCTTGAAATGAATATCTCATCTACCCTGATGCAATTATTACACTGATTACCCGTATCAAAATATTCCATATATGTCATAAATATATATACCTATAAACTCACAAAAATTAAAAATTAAAAAAAAGAAATAACAGAAGAATGCACACACTAGGTATTAGTTTGAAATTGTGAAAACAGGACACACAAACACATAGTAAAAGTACAACAGGGAGTTCAAGACCAGCCTGACCAACATGGAGAAATCCTGTCTCTACTAAAAATACAAAAAATTAGCCAGGCGTGGTGGCATATGCCTGTAATCCCAGCTACTCGGGAGGCTGAGGCAGGAGAATTACTTGAACTCGGGAGGCGGAGGTTGCAGTGAGCCAAGATCGTGCCACTGCACTCCAGCCTGGGCAACAAAAGCGAAACTTTGTCTCAAAAAAAAAAAAAAGTACAACAAAAGTCAGGAAAATGGTAAACAAAATTTGGGAGAATGGTTATTTCTGAGAAGAGAGAGGAGGAGCACACAAGAGAACTCGATGTCCTTTTGGGTACAAAGATATTAGTTTTATCATTATTACTTATACCATGCATATACTTTTATAAACAATCTGTTGTGTGTACCCAATATTAAATAGGAAAAAAAAAAAAGAAGAAATACAATATTTACCAGAGTTTTCTTTACATTGTAATTTTTTTCTACTTAACCATATTTTCCAAATTATCTCTAATGCATAGGTGTTAATGACAGAGAAAAAAACCTATATTTTATGTTCTTAAAACTATTAAAATATAGTTTAATTATATCTTGAAACAATATTTTATGTTCTTAAAGATTACCTTTGGAAGAGGACCTACCTTTCTGCCTCAGTTTCCTGTGCTTTGAAAGCTTCCTTCATTGCTGAGTTCTTAGAAACTAGTTCCTGTAAAGTATACTGAAGTTGTAGTTTGGCTTCGGGGCTGGATATCATTCCCAGTTTCTCAGTGAGGTCCTGGATGTGTGCTACTGTGGATTCCAATTCCTCTTGTTTTCGAAGAGGCATCTCTAAAGATTCTTCTGGATTACCAACATCTACTCTGTAGGGTATAATGATGGCTTCGAGGGAAGTGATGCTCTCCACTGCCCTGGTGACTGCTTCTTTATAGCGTGTTAGATTTTCATAAGCATCATTCAAGACATTCTAGTGAATAGGAGATTAAATGCTGTGACAAAATTGTCAAACTTTTGGAATTCCTGTCATTCTTAAGTTTTCGTGGTACATAGATAATATGTCTCTGAGTCTTTTTTTATTATTATTATACTTTAAGTTTTAGGGTACATGTGCACAATGTGCAGGTTTGTTACATATGTATACATGTCTCTGAGTCTTATAAGAGTTAGCATTCTCATTTTACAGTTTGACAATATTACACTATTATTTTTAAGCAAATAACATTGTATTAAAAAAGTTGTTTCCAGGCCCGGCGTGGTGGCTCACAACTGTAATCCCAGCACTTTGGGAGGCCGAGGTGGGTGGATCACGAGGTCCAGAGTTCAAGACCAGCCTGGCCAGTATGGTGAAACCCCATCTCTACTAAAAATACAAAAATTAGTTGGGTGTGGTGGCGCGCGCCTGTAGTCCCAGCTACTCAGGAGGCTGAGGCAGAAGAATCGTGTGAACCCGGGAGGCGGAGGTTGCAGTGAGCCGAGATCGCGCCACTGCACTCCAGCCTGGGTGACAGAGTGAGAGTCCATCTCAAAAAAAAAAAAAAAAAAAGTTATTTTCAGATTTAATAAGAAAAATAATCTAAATTCAAAATAACATCTCAAGAATAATGTCTATTAATGTATCTTCCTGCTTTGGAACTCTTGTACTAGACTACAAATTAAATAAAACAATGGATTACATTTAATGTATATAACCTTAATCAGTATTTGTGAACAAATGAAAAGAAAACAAAATCTCTAGACCTTTTATGTTTTTAAACTAATTTCTCTGCACTAACTTTAGTTTAGGTACATCATTGAATGAATGTCTCCAGACTTGAGTCATCTCATTGAAATAACAAATAGTTGAAATAAATAAAGGTCCCTTCCAGTTCAGTTCTAATCCTATTATTTTTGGGATTTATGCACATTGTTTCCTGAAACTGTATTAAAATTCAAGTGGAGAAATACTCAAATTACTCATTTATTACAAAACTATTTAAGGAATATAGGTTCATAATACTTTACATTGCCATAGCATTTACACCTATCAAAATATTCCAGATATAGTATCTCATAATAACTCTTTGAATTAGAAAAGGGAGTTAACTTCCACTTCTAAAAATTTAATGTGATCAATCTGAAAACACTATGTATGGCATTACATTCAGCACAGCGTGAATTTCAATGATGCCTAAGATATCCACTCTACCAAAAGGAAGGGAAGGGAGTGTGTTGGCGTCACTTTCCAACAGAGGTGAGGAAATAATCACAACTTACTCAACTCTGCTGCTATAGCATGAAAACAGATACAGTCAATACAAAAACAAATGGGTATGGCTATATTCCAATAAAACTTTATTTATAAAAAACAGGCACTGCGGGAAGGATTTGGCCCATGGACCATGAGCATGTGATGCTCCCTGCTCTGGTTCTGTTACTGTTCTCAGGACTCTGAGAAAAATCTTCATGTTTCTAAACTTCAATTTCCTTATTTTTAAACGGGGCTAATAATAGCACTCATCTCACAGAGTTGCTATAAAAATTCAACATGAAATTTTTAGCACAGTGTCTCCAACACTGTAAGTTCTACATAAATGTTAGTTATTATTTGGTGTTCTTCCCTCTACACCATAATTCTTCCATTATATCTTACTACCTCTAAAAACAAAACAGAAAACAAATTTTTAAAAATGTTCTGAGCTCAACAGAGACTACGAGGAAAACAGAAATAAGAGTCAGATTTGTCCTTTTCTAAACTAGAAGGCACTGCATGTAGATGCAGTATGAGTCACGATTACAAACCAGTTCACTGTAATTTTTGAAAATGGCTATCTTTCTGTAGAGAATTTCTACGTAGAACCTATAGCTTCTTTGGAATTACAGACATTAGCAAAACAGAAAATCACAAAATAAAAATAGATGCACTAACTGCCCAATTTTATTTTATTTTACTTATTTATTTTTTTGAGACAGAGTCTCACTTGGTCACCCAGGCTGGAGAGCAGTGCCGGGATGTTGACTCATTACAACTTGCGCCACCCTGGTTCAAGTGATTCTTGTACCTCAGCCTCCTGAGTAGCTGGGATTACAACCATGTGCCACCATACCCAGCTAATTTTTTTTTTGTATTTTTAGTATACATGCAGTTTTGCCATGTTGGCCAGGCTGGTCTCTACTTGGCCTCAAGTGATCCGCCAGCCTTGGCCTCCCAAAATGCTGGGATTACAGGCGTGAGCCCCCGCACCCAGCCACTAACTGCATAATTTTTAAAACTTACTGTGCGCAAATCAATGCTTGTGTTAAGCTGCATCTGAAGATCTTCAAACTCACGTAGTTTTGTCTCCACATCACTCGCTTCAGAAGAGTTTTCTTCTCTTTGTTTCTCAATAGCAGTCACAGCTTTAATACTACACATTTCTGCCCAAACTTGCTCCTGAAATGCTTCACAATTGTCCTTTTCATTTTGAATATGTTTAATTTCCAAATTTATAAGTAATGGCTGCTGTAATTGAGATTTTATCTGATTTAAAACATGTAAGGAAGTTTCTAGTTTGTCCTGACAATTCTTTTCATCCAATTCTTTTGGTGAGAGTTCTAATACCATGTTTTGGAGAACTTTGTATAACTTATCATTTTCTTCTGCATTCAGCTTTATTTGTAGTATTTCTTTCTCCTTGAATGAGTCATCAAAGGTCTTATTTTCATTTAATTTCTTTATTATCTCATCACATAAACACTTGGCTTTCTCAATTCTCTGACTTAAAATTTGGGCATTGAGCCGTCTGCTTTCCGGAGAGCTATCAGGAGCTTTTAGTACTACTTCAGTCATTTTCTTAATTTGCAAATCAATAGCTCTCATTTTACTTAATAATGCCTGATATTTGCCATGTTCTTCCTCAAATGTGTCCAACTGCTTAATTTTTTCTTCAAGTTCCTTTTCTTTTTCAAATACTTGGGTTTGTAATTGGTCAAGTTGTGAAAAATCCCAGTTTAGTCCAATATAGTCAAACACTTTTTTAAGTTTCAATACCTGTAAGATGCAACACTTAATAGCGGTGAGTCTGTCTTTAAGATTATAGATCTCCTCTTTAACACCTTTATTTACTTCTTGATTAAGTAATAGTTCATTGCGCTGTATACTGTCAGCCTCCTCCTGAAGCGCTGATGTTTTTTCATGGAATTGTCTGCAAAACTTTATCTTGTGTTCCACTTCATTACATGTATTCTGAATGAATCTTTGTATTCTGTTGGTCCTAATCTTAAGATTTTTCAACTGATCTTCCAGAAATAATCTTTCAAACACATTCAGCTCCTCATAGATGTTTGTTAGCTCCTGAAGATGTGTTGAGATTCCACTGTCAATTTCTTGCAATTCCTTCTGAGATGCCTCCAAAGTAACATGGTGATGTTTTAGTTCAGCTTCCGTGGCAGCTGTCTCCACCCTGGGAATTATCAGTGTTTCACTTTCTTGAACCATAAGTTGAAACTTCCTTATTATAGCAAAAAAATTGCTTCTTTCTTCCAACTTAAATTCTAATTGCTGTGATCTTTGAGTTGATTTTAAAACCAGCATTTGGTATTGATTCCGTAAGTCCTCTAGGGTATTATTTAAATCACTGCCCTCATAGGTTGTAAGGCTAGGAACCTTATCTTTGACCTCTTCAGCCAACGATTCCACAGACTGCTGCCTAGCTAGAATGCCATCATGTGTCACTTTGCACTTTCTGATCTGTGAAAGAATGTCATCTGGGAGAAGGGGAATGGAGGGATTAAGTTCACCCAACAAATTCTTGGCCCATAAGATAGTCTCTTTCATCTTGTTCCTTATGTCACACTTCTTAATCTGATTTTCTGCTTCTAAGTGTAATGGCTCCAATGTTTCCCATTGTTTCTTCAAGTTATTTATTCCATCCTCCAAATTCTTCTTTTCTTTTTCTCCCCAAATCCTCTTCATCTGAAGTTCAGCTTGCCCCTTTAAAACAGAAAATCCATGCTTGGTAGCCTGGAGGTCAGTGGTCAAGGCAATCATGCTTTGGTTCCCTGCCCGTTCTTCTGGAGACTTCAGCCTTAACTGTAGATGTTGCTGCTGCTGTTGCAGAGAAATCTCAGTGTCCTGTACCTTATTCATGAGGGTTGTAAATTCATCATATTCCACTACCTGCTGAGAATACTTCTTTTGAATCTGCTGTTCCACTTGTTCCCAACCATGTTCAAGTTGCTTAATCTGGCTTTCCAACAATTTCTTATCCATGTCAGTCACGTGGTTTGATAAATTCTCCCATTTGATTTTCAAGTTGCCTAAAGAATCTTTCTCTTTTTCTATGGATGCTATGAATTTTTTAATTTTGTCCAGATACGTTACACTGTCCAGTGGTCCTCTAGAAAAAGAATAAAAATAGAGCTTGTTAATATTTAATGCTTATTCTACATTAAAATGTGGATAAATATCATTAGAAGAAATTAATTCTGCTCTAAATTCACAGAAAAAATTAGGCTGTCTGTAAAAATAATCTATCCTTAAAATAAAAATCAGAATCTTGTTTACTGTGGCTTTCAATTGGTGTAGAAAACTCTCCTATAAAATGAGTATCTTGGCTTTTACTTTGAGTGAAAAAAAAAAAGCAAAGAAAATGAGTATCCCAAAAATGAATAACCACAGGAAAAAAATGAAGTGAAGGGAAGAATGTACATAAAAATATTTTGTAAATTGTAAAGTACTTGTATAAAGGTTAGTCTAGGAATGAGAGATATTGCCATAATATCCAACCCCCTTGTCATCTTTTCAACAAAGGGAAAAATATTGACTAAAAAGCTGTAATCATCAAGCTAATCTAAAATTGTTTCCTCAAGGGCTGTTACTGAAAGTAAACCCCATTTAGATAAAAGTATAAAACAAATCTTTTTTTTTTTTTTTGAGGCAGAGTCTCACTCTGTCACCCAGGCTGGAATGCAGTGGTGTGATCTCAGCTCACTGCAACCTCTACTTCCCAGGTTCAAGCCATTCTCCTGCCTCAGCCTCCCAAGTAGCTAGAATAACAGACGTATGCCATGATGCCTGGCTAATTTTTTTTGTATTTTTAGAGAAACAGGGTTTCACCATGTTGGCCAAGCTGGTCTCGAATTCCTGACCTTAAGTGATCCACCTGCCTCAGCCTCCCAAAGTGCTGGGATTACAGGTGTGAGCAACCACGTCTGGCCTAAAATAAACTTTTTTGATAATGAGAAAATATTTACATATGAAGACTAAATTTAATACCATTTGCCATCATTTTCAAAGCCAAAAGAAGTGCATATATTTTAAAAGAACCATTCCAATACATATATATTCAATATATACCAAACTATTTAACTAATTATGCTGGTACTAAACAATTACATATGCTTGTCTCCCCTGCCCACATAGTTTAGAATTCTTGACAAAAATAATACTGAATTCCATAGAACATAAACCTATTTTGTAGATATTTATAGTGCGAATTGTTTCATAAATTACTCTGTAAAACATATTCAATTATATAAATTATTTTTTGCATGAAACCAACAGTTTCCTTAAATGCTATGGTCTGAATGTGTGTCCCTTAAAATTCATATTTTGAAACCTAATCACCAATGTAATAGCACTAAGAGTTAGGAACTTTGAGGAGTGATTAGGTCATGAGGGTGGAGCCCCTAAGGATAGGAGTAGAGCCCTTATAAAAGAGACTCCAGAGAGCTGCACTTCTCCTGCTACCACATGAGGACACAGCTAAGATGTGCCATCTGTGAACTGGAGAGCAGGTCCTCGTCAGATGCTGAATCTTCTGCTGCCTTGATCTTGGACTTCCCACCCTCCAAGGCAGTAAGAAATAATTTTGTTTTTTATCAGCCTCTTAGTCTGCAGTATTTTGTTATAGCAGCCCAAACAAAGACAGCATCCATATGAAATAACATTCCATCCTGTGGTTTTAAAATCATAATTTCCTTTCACAATATAAACTCTTAAAACCCTGGGCCTGTCCAAGGTGGCAGATGGTTGTGCTTGAATAAAAAGAATGCAAGTCCTAAATTCTTACACTTACACTTTAAGACTTTCCTTGTCTGTCAACAAGGCTTTCATTGAAGATTCAACTGCAGCAAGGTATTCCTGAAAATCTCTGAGGACACAATATTGGCTTTCTTTGTTTTTCTTCAAAGTAATAAGTGCCTGAAGCAAATTGTCCAAATGCTGTGCCGAATATCCTATATTGTGGAGAACCAAGGCCCCAGTTTCTGTTTTGTTAAGACATTCTGTTTGTTCCAGTGGCTTAATGGCTGCTTTCTTTGCTTCCAACTGGGTATATAATTTCTAAAAATAAGTCACACAGATCAGTCAATAAACACTCACTTATTTATGCATTAATTCATTCATCTTCTTTCCTCTTTGAGATAACACACTCTATCTCAGGAAGAGGGTAACTCATTTGCACACAGGGTAACTAAAGTTGTAACCTTTAAAAATTATTATTATTATTATTATTATTATTATTTTGTCACCCAGGCTGGAGTGCAGGGTGCAATCATAGCTCACTGTAACCTAAGATTCCTGGGCTCAGGTCTCCCATCTCAGCCTCCCAAGTAGCTAGGACTACAGGTGCATGTCACCACACCCAGATAATTTTTTTTATTTTTATTTTTGTAGAGCCGAGAGTCTTGCTATATTGCCCAGGCTGGTCTTGAACTCCTGGCCTCAAACAGTCTTCCTACCTCAGCCTCCCAAAGGACTGGGATGACAGCCATGAGCTACCACATCCCTAATATTTAAAAGGTTTTTCTTCCCAAGAATCATGTTAAAATCCAGTCTAAAATTCACCATTGGTCCAGCATTTAATGTCAGTCAGATCACTCTATTATCTTAAAGAGTTCTGCAATATCTAAAGGGAAATTCATCTTAATTTTATTATTTACATACATCACCCATCTTTCCTATTTTAGATGCGTGTTTATTGTTGTGGAAACTTAGCTAAAATTGCATGGGTTGTTTATAGTTTGCTTTTTTTTTTTTTTTTTAGAGACAGGATCTCGCTCCATCATCTAGGCTGGAATGCAGTGCCACAATCTCACCTCACTGCAACCTTGAACTTCTGGGTTCAAGCAATCCTCCTGTCTCAGTCTCCTGAGTAGCTGAAACTACAGGCACACATCATCTTGCCTAAATAATTTTTGTATTTTTTGGTAGAGATGGGGTCTCGCAATGCTGCCCAGGCTGGTCTCCAACTCCTGGACTCAGGCAGTCCTCCCGCCTCGGCCTCCCAAAGTGCTGGGATAACAGACATGAGCCACCATGTCTGGCTGCTGTTTCACTTTTTAAAATATGGCCATGTATTGGATTTTTAGATTACTTTACAAGCTGGAAGCACATAAATACATAAACATAACTATGTAAACACAGATGTAAAAACAAAGGGGGAAGAACCTCATAGAACTGATTGTTAGGAAAAATACATTTGTCAGAATCAGAAGAATATATACTTGTAAGAAAAGGAATGATGGCAAGTCAAAATCTCCAAATTTTCTCACTAAGTCTTTAGGAACTTTGTGAAATAGAAAGAAGACTAATGTCCCTTTAACTCTTCTACTTTCTAAATGGAAAGATTTATACAACTTACTTAGTACATAATTATACAGTTACCAAATTGATCATCAGGCAAAGGTTAAATAAGACTTTTCACTCTGTACAAGCAAGTTTTTGGCAATTAAAATATATTGTATTGCACTGGATAAATGATGCAATCATGTTGTCAGTGTTTTTATGTTTCCATACCTCTATCTCTTCTAATTGTTCATTTCTTAACATAGTATCTAATTCTAAAGGTTGATTTTGCAGCTCATTGACTTTCCGCTCATCTTCAGTGTTTTTCATGCTTTCTTGAGCATTAAGAGAAAGTTGTTTTGACATAGCCATTTCCACAGCTGAATCCTGAAATACATAAAAAGATTAATTGCTGAATAGTCTACTTTCCAAATAAATCCTTTTTATTTTTCTTGATGAAAACATTCCAGTTTCTTCTGTTTACTTGGATTATAGACTTAAAAAGTATATTTGGGCACTACGAAAGATGATTTTTCCATATAATAATGCCTATGTTGGTATTACCCCAAGATGAAACCTTCTTTGACAAAGTAGTATAGGATATAGCATTGGTCAATTGTATACTGAAGCAAAATCTATAGTCTTAAAGACAGAAAAAAGTATTTAAAAAAACCCCAAAAGTGTATGCTTTAGTGTTCACCAGGATACAGTGGGCAGGGCAAATAATAGGCATTTATTGTTACCTACTGGTAGTTTAAAGTAAGTGGCCATATGGAGGTAACACCAAGGATTTGTGATATTAATTATAGCAACAGGAGGCAGCCAAATGCCTAGACAGATAGGGGCAAGCCCCCAGTGAAACCCCACCTCCATGCCAAAGACAGTTTAAAGCCTGAAAGCCAAGCTACAAGTTAATTCCTAGGACCGGACTGAGAACTTGTCCTCCTGTTTGGCACACTTTCCTCTGATTGATCCCCACCCTTCCCCTATTTTACATATACCCACCCTTTCCTAATTGGTTTTCTACACTGTTATGCTCTCCTTTGAGTGGTGTCTTCGCTTTAACCTTTTTTGCGTAATTCCAAACCAGTCAGCACACACTCCCTATCCTGTGCCTATAAAGACACCAGACTCAGTCGGTAGAGGAGGAGACGGCCTGACTTCAGGGAAGACCACCTGCCCTTCCCATCCCCCCTCCAGCTTCCCTCTCCACTGAGAGCCATTTTCATCACTCAGTAAAATTCTTTGCCTTCACCATCTTTCAATCATCCATATGACTTCATTCTTCTTGGATGCTGGACAAGAGCTTGGGACCCACCAAGTGTGGGTACCCAGAAAGGCTGTTACACCAGCCCTTTGCCTTTGCTGGTGGAGGGCAACTGCTCCACATGACGAGGCAAGGGGCCAACTGAGCTACTAACATACCACCATCTGCAGACAGCAGAACTAAAGGAGCGCTGTAATACCCCTTTCTAGGGCTTCAGGATCACAAGCACCCTCACCCAGGTGCCACTGCATTCCCCTCAAGGTGACATGCCTAGTCTGGCTGTGGGCCCCACACAGCGCTTGCTCCTGTCTCGGCACCCAGAGCAGCTTGCCAGATTCTATGCTCACTTGCTCATGTGCTCCCTCCAGCAAGGGGTTGAGCACAGTGGACCAAGTAGACGAGGTGCCTCTTTTATGAGTCTGGTGAAGGGGCTGAGAAAAATCCTGTATCATTAAGGATAAATTGGCCAGGCACAGTGGCTCATGCCTGTAATTCCAGCACTTTGGGAGGCCGAGGTAGGTGGATTGCTTGATCCCAGAAGTTCAAGGAGTTCACCATGGGTAACACGGTGAAACCCCATCTGTACAAAAAATACAAAAATTAGCTCAACATGGTGGCATGCATCTGTAGTCCCAGCTACTCAGGAGGCTGAGGTGGGAGGATCACTTGTGTCCAGGAGGCTGAGGCTACAGTGAGCCATGATTGTGCCACTGCACTCCAGGCTGGGTGACAGACCCTGCTCAAAATCATTTTGATTTCAAAAACAAAGAAAGGATAAATTATGTCTTAAGCCAATCAGTAGTAAGAATTCAAACCTAGGTAAGGCAGAACAAGTTATATACGAGGTAATTTGACCTTTTCTGAAAGCTTTAAGAACTTGAGGTTCTCTATAGGACACAGAGAGACAATGCATCTGCATTCACTTGCTCTTTCTTTCAATAAATATTTGTGGAGCCCTGAGATGTATGAAGCACCACGGCAGTAATTTTAAAAGATGTCCATTATTTTGCTAAGGCACTCGTTTTTATTTTCAGGTTACTTTATATATGAAAAATCATTTAATTGTGCTATATACCTTCATGTCCATAGAATCTTTGAGGTATCAAATTTGTGAATAAAACATGTCCACATCCCCAACAAGGTAGAAATTGATGTCTTAAAAATACTGTCTAGATAGTAATGTAAGATGTTAACAATAGGGGAAACTGGGTGCAGGGGTGTGAAGGAACTTTTTGTATTATCTCTGCAACTTCTCTGTAACTGTAAAACTATTCTAAAATTAAAAGTTCATTTAAATAAAACAAATACTGTCTGGAGCTTCACCAGTTTTAACTGGAAAGAGAATTCAACTGTCCAGGGTTACTGGTTTTGAAGTACTTAATTGGCATTTAGCACAAGTCACTTCTTCTAAAAGGCTGCAAATTACTGAAATAATTTTGTAAACTTCCTCAGGTTCCAACAATGTATTCAGGCACACTGTGGCGAAAATCTACACCTAGGGCAGCAGCATCTCACAGGGGAAAGATCCAGGAAGGCTGTAAGAAGAAAGAGAGGTGCCACACTTCAGGTTTCACTGGCCAGTAGGTGCTTTCTGCCTATGAGCCAGTCCTATGAGCTAGATAGCTGTCTCCTTTCTATCTGATGGTTACTATTTCCTAGAGGACCCCCACCCCCCGAAATACACCCCCAGCCCAAGAGAACCTGCACTGAAGGCCTAGACACTGGACCTGAGGAACACTTTATCTGTTATTCATCATCTACTAAGATTGCAGAACCCTTAGTCTCTCTTATCTGATGATCCAGTACCTGAGGACTACTGTTACACAACAGTAAAGCATTATTTCTAACAACTGCCTTTAGTAGTCAGAAAAAGGATTCTTGAAAACCTGAAATTACCCCCAAAAGTTTAATTGTTTACCAACTCCCAAAGCCACGTTTCTAGCTTGGCAGAAAAGCCAACAGAATCCCTTGAACTAACATTTCAAATGTAAAAGGTCCTTTGCTTGTGGCAGGGAGGTTAGAACACAGACTCCAGGTCCTGATAAGCTCCTGGAATGGAAGATTCTTTCATCAGCAGGCGTCCTTGGCTCACCACCCTTTCCTCCATTTTATTTTTACTCTGCACATTCATTTTAAACATTTTATTTTAAAATATAAAATATTTCATATGAACTTGAATAAAATATAACTGTATCAGGCCGTTTGCATGTTGCTGGTAAAGACATACCTGAGACTGGGCAATTTAAAAAAGAAAGAGGTTTCATTGGACTTACAGTTCCATGTGGGTGGGGAAGCCTCACAATCATGGCGGAAGGCAAGGAGTAAGTCATATCTTACATGAATGGCGGCAGGCAGAAAGAAAGAGGTTGTGTGGGCAAACTCCCGTTTCTTAAAACAATCAGATCTCATGAGACTCATTCACTATCATGAGAACAGCACAGGAAAGATCCACCCCCATAATTCAATCACCTCCCACCAGGTTCCTCCCATGACACATGGGAATTGTGGGAGTTACAATTCAAGATGAGATTTGGGTGGGGACACAGCCAAACCATACCATTTTGCATCTGGCCCCTCCAAATCTCATGTCCTCACATTTCAAAACCAATCATGCCTTCCCAACAGTCCCCCAAAATATTAACCCATTTCAATATTAACCCAAAAGTCCACAGTCAAAAGTGTAATCTGAGACAAAGCAAGTCCCTTTGCCTATGAGCCTGTAAAATCAAAAGCAAGCTAGTTACTTCTTAGATACAATGGGGGTACAGGTATTGGATAAATTCAGCTGTTCCAAATGGGATAAATTGGCCAAAACAAAGGGGTTACAGGGCCCATGCAAGTCTGAAATTAAGTGTGGCAGTCAAATTTTAAAGCTCCAAAATGATCTCGTTTGACTCTAGGTCTCATATCTAGGTCATGCTGATGCAAGGGGTAGGTTCCCACGGTCTTGGGCAGCTCTGCACCTGTGGCTTTGCAGGGTACAGCCTCCCTCCCAGCTGCTTTCATAGGCTGGCATTGAATGTTTGCAGCTTTTCCAGGCAAATAGTGCAAGCTGTCAGTGGATCTACCATTCTGGGGTCTGGAGGACAGTGGCATTTGCTCGGTGTGGTGGCATGTGTCTGTAGTCCCAGCTACTCAGGAGGCTGAGGTGGGAGGATCACTTGAACCTAGGAAGCTGAGGCTACAGTGAGCTGTGACTGTGCCACTGCACTCCAGGCTAGGTGACAGTGAGACCACTCCACTAGGTGGTGCCCCAGTAGGCACTCTGTGTGGGGGCTCTGATCCCACATTTCCCTTCTGCACTGCCTTAGCAGAGGTTCTCTGTGAGGGCCCCGCCCCCGTAGCAAACTTCTGTCTTGGCATCCAGGTGTTTCCACACATATTCAGAAATCTAGGCAGAGGTTCACAAACCTCATTTCTTGACTTCTGTGTACCCACAGGCTCAACACCACATGGAAGCTGCCAAGGCTTGGGGCTTGCACACTCTGAAGCCACAGCCCGAGCTGTTCCTTGGCTCCTTTTAGTCAAGGCTGGAGCGGCTGAGACACAGGGCACTCGGTCGCTAGACTGTACACAGCAAAAGGACTCTGGGCCCAGCCCACAAAACCATTTTTTTTTTTTACATAGGCCTCTGGGCCTGTGATGGGAGGGGCTGCTGTGAAGACCTCTGACATGCCCTAGAGACATTTCCCCCATTGTCTTGGGGATTAACATTCGGCTTGTTACTTGTGCACATTTCTTCAGCCTGCTTGAATTTCTCCTCAGAAAATGGGTTTTTCTTTTCTATCGTATTGTCAGACTGAAACATTTCCTAACTTTTATGCTCTGCTTCCTTTATAAAACTGAATGCCTTTAACAGCACCCAAGTCACCTCTTGAATGCTTTGTTGCTTAGAAATTTCCTCTTGAATGCTTTGTTGCTTAGACATTTCTTCCACCAGATACCCTAAATCATCTCTCTCAAGTTCGGTTCCGCAAATCTCTAGGGCAGGGGCAAAATGCCACCAATCCCTTTGCTGAAACATAACAAGAGTCACCTTTGCTCCAGTTCCCAACAAGTTCCTCATCTCCATCTGAAACTACCTCAGCCTGGACCTTATTATACATTTCACTATGAGGTTTTTGGTCAAAGCCATTCAACAAGTCTCTAGGAAGTTCCAAACTTTCCCACATTTTCCTGTCTTCTTCTGAGCCCTCCAAACTGTTCCAACCTCTACCTGTTACCCAGTTCCTAAGTCACTTCCACATTTTCAGGTATCTTTTCAGCAATGCCCCACTTTACTGGTACCTATTTACGGTATTAGTTTGTTCTCATGGTGCTGATAAAGACATACCCAAGACAGGGCAATTTAAAAAAGAAAGAGGTTTAATGGATTTACAGTTCCACGTGGCTGGGGAAGCCTCACAATCATGGTGTAAGGCAAGGAGGAATAAATCACATCTTAGGTGGATGGCAGCAGGCAAAAAGAGAGAGGCTGTGCAGGCAAACTCCCATTTTTTAAAACCATCAGATCTCATGAGACTCATTCACTATCATGAGAACAGGGCAGGAAAGACCTGCCCCCATAATTCAATCACCTCCCACTGGGTTCCTCCCATGACATGTCGGAATTGTGGGAGTTACAATTCAGGATGAGATTTGGGTGGGGACACAGCCAAACCATATCAATAACAGACACACATTACTGACCACACAGATTTAAAGTGATATAATTTTCTGTATTAAGAAAATAATTTAAAGCCCAACCTCTATCCCTTTTCATCTCTTCCTCTCCAGAACCACTGTTCTAAAGTCTATACACACACTTTTATACTTTCACTACATATGTTAGTATTCATATAACATTGCTTTATGGGTTTTTAATTCTTACTGAAATAGAATCATGGATGTATCATGTCATAACTTGTTTTTTTCCACTCAGCAGTAGGTTTGGAGGTTTATCCATGTTAACAGATTATACATCTAGTTCATTATACTGAATGAATGAAAATGAATTTTTCATCTGTTAGACTACTGTGGAAAACAATATTGTTTCCAACTTTTCATATAATAGATAGTGCTGTGATATATACCCTTGTATGATTCTTCTTGTGCATGTGTGGAGTTCCTTAAGATATCTATGTAGAGTAAAAATTACTGGTAGTAGTGTGCTTCCTTTGATTCTCAATAGATAGTTATTGATTTATCCTCCACATTGAATTACTGTTTATATTCCTACCAGCATAGTGATATTTTCACTATTTTCTTTTCTTTTTTCTTTTTTTTTTTTTAAGAAAGGGTCTTGCTCTGTCACCCAGGCTGGAGTGCAGTGGTGTGAACATGGTTCACTGCAGCCTCAATCTCCTGGGTTCAACTGATTCTCCTGTTTCAGCCTCCCAAGTTGGTGGGACCACAGGCACACACCACCACACCCAACTAATTTAAAAAATTTTTTTCTAGAGATCGGGTCTTCTATGCTGCTCAGGCTGGTCTGGAACTCCTGGGCTCAAGCAATCCTCCTGCCTCAGCCTCCCAAAGTGCTGAGATTACAGGCATGAGCCAGAGCACCTGGCCTGAGCTACTCTTCATATGTTCATTGGACATACGAGTCCTGCCTTCTGCGAACTGCTTTTGCATATCCACTGTCCATTTTTTATTGTGTTGTTAGTGATTTGGGGCTATTTTTTTGTATTCTGGATATTAATCTTCTAATAGTTACATGCATTGTCATTATCTTTCAGTAGATTGTCTTTAAATTTTGTGTATGATGTCTTTTGTTGAACAAAAGCATACTGTTTTAATCTAGTCAAAATTTGTCTCTCTTTTCCTGTTTAGGCTTGTGGTTTTAGGGCCTGTTTAACAAAGTCTTCTATGCCCCAAGATCACAAAAATGTTCCCTTATATTCTCTTGTAAAGATTTAAATATTTTCTCTTCACATTTAAGCTTTTCTTTAATATATTTTTGTTTGAAGTTTGAGATAGATAAACTTTCAGTCTTTGTCTCAAAATGTATTTTGCCTCATTCTAGAATGATAATTCAGCTAGGTTGACAGCTATTTTCTCTTAGGTTGACAGTTCCTTGAAGAACTTATTTGCACTGCCTTCTGACTTTCCATGTTGAGAAATTTATTATTGACATACTTGTTTTATTAGAGGTAATCTTTTTTCTCTAGTTGCCTTTAAGATTCTTCTTTTTGGCTCTGGTGTTTTACTATTTTAAGTACAATGCATTTAGATAAGAATTTATTTTTATTTAGTCTGTTCAAGGCTCTCTGTTCTTCTTGAAACAAGATTCATATTTTTCCTCAATTTTGGAAAATTCTAAGTTTTGCCTTTCCTCCAATCTCTCTATTCTCTCCTCCTAAAGCTCTTATCAGAAATGTGTTCAATCATTGCAGTATAGCCTCTGGCTCTCTTAAAACTCCCTCCTATTTTCTGCCATATATATATATATGGCAGAAATATATACACATATATATATTTCTGAAAATATTTCAGAAAATATATACATATATATGTATATACATATATATATATATATATTTTTAACCTCACTTCTACAGTAGGGGATATGTCTCTTTATAGATGTTGGATTTTGTGATAATTTTCTCAGTCATATATTCTAACTAAGTCTCTTCAGACTATGTCAAATTTGCTGCTTAATTTGGCCAAAGCAATCTACATTTAATGACTTTTTTTGTTGTTTGTTGAAGTCCCTTATGATTATTTTTCAAATCCGTCCTTTTGTTCTCAAAGTACTGTATTCTTTCCTTATGATTTCAATTTCTTCTTTTTTTAATTACTAATCATTTTAAACACGTTATGGTAAAATATCTTTCAGATTGCTGCATTATCTCACTTTCTTAGGGTATTCTCTCATTTGATGTGATGAGTACTCCTCCTTGTGGTAGAGTGTTCCTTTGTGCTATTTATTTATTCATTCATTCTTACTAATTATTTGTTATCAGACTTTACTTTTTTTAACCTACTTGTGGGAATCTCTTTGGCCTGACTGGTAGGTAAGTAAGTAGATAGACAGACAGATTAGAGACTGATTGTCATGTTAATTTCTTGGCTAGACCTGCTCCACAATGCAATTAGTATAAATTTAGACTCAAAACCTGCTTAAGACATAGGGTTGATTTAGGTTTCTCATGCAAGACCTCTTATTTCCATGTGTAACTGGAAAAAGAAGCTTCATAGTCCTTCTCTGGCTTGAGATTTTCCTGGTCTACTTTTCCCCAAAGGTACAAGCTTTTCAAGGGCCCGTGTCTATTCTGGAGTATCTATCAATGAACAGCCTCTCTTTGAGCCCTTATAAATTCTAAGCCCCTGGATATCTCATTCTTTCCCTTCTCCCATGCTCCTAAAATTTCCCTACTTAAAACAGAAATTATACTTAGCATAAACTCAAGACAAAGTATAATTTTAAAGAGTGTACTAAAGCCTACATATTGAGCTTCTGAGCATAAATAAAATGTTCAAAGTTAATAATAAATTTAAAGTGGAAAATGACCATTCTATCAAAGCATGGTTGGGCTACATGGCCAACAACGTCTACTCTTTTTTTAAAATGTTGCTTTTTCTCAAACATGTATCTTTCCTTTCATTTGGGTCTGTTTGGAAAAGAATAGGAGGTGAGAAGAATATCATGAACTCCTCCTAAGGGCAGGACCACGACATTTTGATCTTTACATCCCCTGACTCACAAAGTGAACATTCCACTTCAGCATTGAAAACACTGAGCTCTAAATGACTGAGCATGGTCTCCAGCTTGGCCAACATGTTAGCACAGTCACAAGAGGCAAGTCAGTAACCTTCACTATCCCTTTTCCCATTCAGGGGCTATGGCCCATGGCTATGGTAACTTTGTGACAGGCAGAAACCTAAATCCAATACTTGTAACCTGGCAACAATGGGGCAGAGTGTCATACCAGCTCTAAAGGATGTATTTCTTTTTTCTCTAAAGCTTTACAATATAAAGCAGTGAAAAACAACTCTTGCATAAGCATACATCATCACCATTAGAGACAAAACCAAAAGCCAGATCAACACAGTCTCAGAGGCTGCCAATTTCTTAGTATAACATCTAAAATGTTAATGTGACTCGTAAGGCACAGCCAGCCACACCTACCTCTCAGGCCTCATCTCTGTCACTCTCCTCTGCCATCTGCCTCCTATGTTGCAGCCACCGTGCCCCAGTCAGCTTCTGAAATTCCTCACGCTCTCTCCCATCAAAAGAGGAGACAGTGCTCTCCCTCTCCCTCTCCCTCTCCCTCTCCCCACGGTCTCCCTCTCCCTCTCTTTCCACGGTCTCCCTCTGATGCCGAGCCGAAGCTGGACTGTACTGCTGCCATCTGGGCTCACTGCAACCTCCCTGCCTGATTCTCCTGCCTCAGCCTGCTGAATGCCTGCGATTGCAGGCGCCCGCCGCCACGCCTGACTGGTTTTCGTATTTTTTTGATGGAGACCGGGTTTCGCTGTGTTGGCCGGGCTGGTCTCCAGCTCCTAACCGCCGAGTGATCCACCAGCCTCGGCCTCCCGAGGTGCCGGGATTGCAGACGGAGTCTAGTTCACTCGGTGCTCAATGGTGCCCAGGCTGGAGTGCAGTGGCGTGATCTCGGCTCGCTACAACCTCCACCTCCCAGCCGCCTGCCTTGGCCTCCCAAAGTGCCAAGATTGCAGCCTCTGCCAAGCCGCCACCCCGTCTGGGAAGTGAGGAGTGTCTCTGCCGGGCCGCCCATCGTCTGGGAGGTGAGGAGCCCCTCTGCCTGGCTGCCCAGTCTGGAAAGTGAGGAGCGTCTCTGCCCGGCCGCCATCTCATCTAGGAAGTGAGGAGCGCCTCTTCCCGGCCCCCATCCCATCTAGGAAGTGAGGAGCGCCTCTTCCCGGCCGCCATCCTGTCTAGGAAGTGAGGAGCGTCTCTGCCCGGCCGCCCATCGTCTGAGATGTGGGGAGCGTCTCTGCCCCGCCGCCCCGTCTGGGATGTGAGGAGCGCCTCTGCCCGGCCGGGACCCCGTCTGGGAGATGAGGAGCATCTCTGCCCGGCCGCCCCGTCTGAGAAGTGAGGAGACCCTCCGCCTGGCAACTGCCCCGTCTGAGAAGTGAGGAGCCCCTCCGCCTGGCAGCCACCCCGTCTGGGAAGTGAGGAGCGTCTCCGCCCGGCAGCCGCCCCGTCCGGGAGGGAGGTGGGGGGGTCAGCCCCCCGCCCGGCCAGCCGCCCGGTCCGGGAGGGAGGTTGGGGGTCAGCCCCCCGCCCGGCCAGCCGCCCCGTCCGGGAGGGAGGTGGGGGTGTCAGCCCCCCGCCCAGCCAGCCGCCCCGTCCGGGAGGTGAGGGGCGCCTCTGCCCGGCCGCCCCTACTGGGAAGTGAGAGGCCCCTCTGCCCGGCCAGCCGCCCCGTCCGGGAGGGAGGTGCGGGGCGCCTCTGCCCGGCCGCCCCTACTGGGAAGTGAGGGGCCCCTCTGCCCGGCCACCACCCTGTCTGGGAGGTGTACCCAACAGCTCATTGAGAACGGGCCATGATGACAATGGCGGTTTTGTGGAATAGAAAGGGGGGAAAGGTGGGGAAAAGATTGAGAAATCGGATGGTTGCCGTGTCTGTGTAGAAAGAAGTAGACATGGGAGACTTTTCAGTTTGTTCTGTACTAAGAAAAATTCTTTTGCCTTGGGATCCTGTAGATCTGTGACCTTACCCCCAACCCTGTGCTCTCTGAAACATGTGCTGTGTCCACTCAGGGTTAAATGGATTAAGGGCGGTGCAAGATGTGCTTTGTTAAACAGATACTTGAAGGCAGCATGCTCGTTAAGAGTCATCACCACTCCCTAATCTCAAGTACCCAGGGACACAAACACTGCGGAAGGCCGCAGGGTCCTCCGCCTAGGAAAACCAGAGACCTTTGTTCACTTGTTTATCTGCTGACCTTCCCTCCACTATTGTCCTATGACCCCGCCAAATCCCCCTCTGCGAGAAACACCCAAGAATGATCAATTAAAAAAAAAAAAAAAAGAGGAGACAGTATTTCTGTCAAAAATGCTCCCCACACCCAGCCCTGAGCTCTGTTAACTCCAACTGACACTTCCAGTCTCTGTTCCAATGCTGCTTCCTGGGAGCTCTCTCTGACACTACAGTGTAGGTCAGATTCCTTGGTTAAAGACTATCATGGAACTAGGTTCCTTCCTTTGGTTCCTGTAATTAGATTCTCATTGCTATAATTAGTTGATTAATGTGTATCCACCCAGCTAGACTAGAAGCTCTTTGAGAACAGAGACCATGTTTATGTGGGGATCCTCACTGCCTAGTCAATGAATTTAAACTGAGTAGATGTACAGATGAATTCAAACCAGAGAATGTAAACCAGAATAAGAATTTTATTTAGTCTTCCATTTCCAATATTAATAGTATATTTGTCTTTGGCCTGTAAGTGATTGGGGAAAAATTAAAAAAAAATTTTTTTTAATGTGTGGGTTATAGAGTAAAATGGAAAGAAACTGAGGGCCTGTCAATGTAGCAGTTGTTGACCAAACATCTGTCAAGAACAATAGAAACAGGGTGGCCAGGGGTGGTGGCTCATGCCTGTAATCCCAGCATTTTAGGAGGCCAAGGTGGGAGGGAGTATTGCCTTAGCCCAGGAGTTTGAGACCTGCCCGGGCAACATGGTGAAACCCCGTCTCTACCAAAAATACAAAAATTAGCCGGTGTGGTGGTGCACACCTGTGATCCCAGCGACTCAGGAGGCAGAGGTGGGAGGATCGCTTGAGTCCAGAGGCAGAGGTTGCAGTGAGCCAAGATCGCGCCACTGCACTCCAGCCTGGGTGACAGAGTGAGACCCTTTCTCCAAACAAACAAACAAAAAGAACGATAGAACAGGTTTGGTTTGACTGAAAGAGTGGAGAAAGTTCAAAACATTCTTAGAATAGGGGAGGTGATTTTTTTTTTTTTTAAGTAAAAAAGAAAAAGAGGAAAAAGAAACTTTGAAACAAATGCCAGGATTATATGACAAGGTATCCATGAGAACTCAATAAAGAGTCCATTGAGGTCAGTCAGCACGTTAGCCTCTTAAAGGATTTAAAAGGTCACACAGTAAAGAAAACCTATTTGAATGTGTTTAATCCTACATTCCTCAAACTTTTTTGGATCTGAATTTTCCACCCATATACCACATTTTGTAAAATGAAAAAGTTCTGAGCATCAGACTGAGTACAGATAAGATAACTTCAAGACTACCCTGGGCAACTTAGTGAGACTGGGTCTCTACAAAAAAAAAAAAAAAATACAAAAATTAGCTGGGCATTGTGATACATGCCTGGAGTCCTACTACTCAGGAGGCTAAGGCAGGAGGATGGCTTAGGGTTAGGAACTCAAGGCTGCAGTGAGCTATGACTGCACTATGACTACACTCCAGCCTGAGTGACAGAGCCAGACCCTGTCTCTAAAATTCATAAAAAATAAATAAAGGATGCCTAAGTTCTAGTCCCAGCTCTGCTGGACTTCAATTCCCTCACCTGAAATAAAAGGGTTACGTTAGACAATTTCTAAGGTCTTTTTCAGCCTGAGATTTTACAACTTTGGAGCATGTTCTCAAATGCACGTTGTTTATAGATGGCAAAAAAAAAAAAAAAAAAAATGTACCATGTAAGTTGGTTATCCCATTAAGGCATAAATTTTGGATTGTGAAAATACCTCTACAGTAAGATGCAAGATTTGCATACTGGCCAGAAAGGGCAAGTAGGACACTGTAGTTGACACATGGCCCAACTATGTGCTCTGTTATAACTTTTTTTTTTCTACTGAGTTAACAGGATAAACAACACCAGAAATAGACATAATTTACCCCAGGATTGAAAACTCTCCAGTAAGTAGTTTCCTTCTCATTCAAATTCTGACTCCAGGCTTTGTTCCGGGTCACTCACCCACAGCTAGAGCTTTGCACATTTTGCCTGTACCTTCCAAGATTTATCTACAAATGCCTTCTTAAACATCAAATTAGAAATGCTCAGAAACTTCTGAAAAGAACAAAATCAATTCAGAAATGCTAACAATTACGTCAATGATAAGGAAATCAAAGAAGTAATTACAGACCAAAGGTTTTCAGTTTTTAAAAAGCAATTATGTCATGTAGGCTGCTATTTCGGAAGGATGGGGCAAGAAAGATCATTCCATACTAGATAAGCTGTAATGTTGTATTATGATTTTTTAGAAAAAAAATAATAAATTAGAAAATGTATGAGTTTCCCTGTTTTTCCTCTTTATCGTTTCTCTTTATGGGCACATAAAATCCTAAGAGATTAGACAGTCTTCACTTTTTACCATATCCTAATCTGCTGCTTCACTTAACCTATATAGAAAGGAGGAGATGGAAGGTACTTCTGCCTACCCATATGTAAAAATTCAGAAATACGCATCTATAAAAATATGCAGTATGGTATTGAATCATAAGCACAAATACCTGTCATACTGAATTTTGCAACTTCTTTTGTTTCTAGGTCTGCCTGAACATTTCCAATATTAAAGAAAAGGTCAACCAAAGGTCCAGATCTACAAAATCACCTGCATTTCATCTGAAATGAAATTCTTGACAATGGATTCAAATATATACATGCTATGATGGCAATTTTTGGAAACTGCCATCACATTTTCAACAAAATTCTAAGATTAATGACATTTACTAAAGAAAAAGTAAAAGAAATAAAAACTTTCTAAAAATTCTTCTGGGGTCTATTTAAAATAATCTGATAAAAGCCTCTCTGGATTCCAAAAAGGCATGTGAAGTGAGTATTAATTAGCAATTTAATTAGTGTTAGATTTTAAGCTGTGACAACTATATCCTCACATTCTAGCAGAATGACTAGCACAAAATAAGTCTCAAGTAGTGTTTTTAATGACTAAAGTGCTTATTTTCACTATCACAATGATTTTATATTAATCAAATTTATAATTCAGTAAACTGTGCCTTTATGTGTCCTACGTATTCATTATATTGAGAATCCAGCTTCAGTCATTAACACAGTTATGTCATTTGTCACATTATACATGTACTTTATTAGTCTAAGCATAAATCTGATCTCTTTTGCTAGTTGCTGTTCAACTTTAAAACTGCTCTTGACCTTAATAGACTAATGTTATATAATATTACATACTCTAATATTACATACAAGAAAATACAGCCAGTACTCAGAGAAAATAAGCCATACAGATACAGAAAAATAGCCATGTTACAAAAGAATAAAGCAACAAAATGTTGCTAGAGAATAAAAACTAGTTATCTGTATCCAAACTTATGAAAATTATTTGAGGACATCAATTCCTCCATTTGCCCTGAAAAAAACATTTAAATGAAGTATCATAAACTATCAATAACCCTTAAATTTGTATCATAAACTATCAATAACTCTTATCATTCAAGATTAATTAAAAGCATAATAAATTTTTTAAACCTTTTTTTTTCTTTTTTCTTGAGACAGGGTCTTGCTCTGTCACCCAGGCTTGAGTGCAGTGGCACAATCTCGGCTCACTACAGTCTCGACCTCCTGGGCTCAAGCAATTCTCCCACCTCAATCTCCCAAGTAGCTGGGACTATAGGCATGTGCCACCACCTCTGGCTAATTTTTGTATTTTTTTTTTTTTGTAGAGACTGGGTTTCACCATGTTGCCCAGGCTGGTCTTGAACTCCTGGGCTCAAGCAATCTATCCACCTCGGCCTCCTCACGTGCTGAGATTACAGCTGTGAGCCACTGCACCTGGCCAAAAACAATTCTTATTTTTAGATTATGATCTTTATATAGTTCTCAACATACTCTATTGAGTTTTGGGGGTTCACAGTCAAAATGGATCTGGGAAGTTAGTTTAAAAGTTGTTAGGCAAGTAACTCCCTTTAGCAAGCTCATGTGTTAGGACTGTGCCCTTTTGTACAGCCTATCTCATAGAAAGCACTGAGTTATTTTTCCTTTTTAACTTTATCACTTATTTATTTAGAGACCAAGGTGTTGTGCTATTGCCCAGGCTGAAGCACAGTGACACAATCATGGCTCACTGCAACCTCAACCTTCGGGGCTCATGTGATCCTCCCACCTCAGCCTCCCAAATAGTTGGGAACACAGGCACAAGCCACCATGCCCAGCTAATTTTTAATTTTTTTGTAGAGATGAAATCTCCCTATGTTGCCCAGACTGATCTCAAACTCCTGGGCTCAAGGGATATTCCCACTTCAGCCCCACAAAGTGCCGAGATTAGTGGTGTGAGCCACTAAGTCTTGATTATCTATTGCTATTTAAATACTGTTTTAAAAGTTTCTTTTACACATACAACATCAAGAGCCTCACTCACTGATCTCTTAATCCTCTAAGACATATCACCTTTTTTAAAAAATTAGAGAAACCCCATCTTCTACTAAAAATACAAAATTAGCCAGGCGTGGTGGCACATGCCTGTAATCCCAGCTACTCAGGAGGCTGAGGCAGGAGAATCGCTTGAACCTGGGAGGCAGAGGTTGCGGTGAGCCAAGATTGCACCATTGCACTCCAGCCAGGGCAACAAGAGTGAAACTCCGTCTCAACAACAACAACAACAACAACAAAATTAGAGATAGGGTCTCACTCTGTCGCCGAGGGTGGAGTACAGTGGTGCAATCACAGCTCACTGTAACCTCAAATTCCTAGGCTCAAATGATTCCCCCATCTCAGCCTCCCAAGGAGCTGGGATAACAGATGTGCACTGTCATGCCCGGTTATTAATATTATTATTTTTTGGTAGAGACAGGGTTCTTGCTATGTTGCCCAGCCTGGTCTCAAGGGATCCTCCAAGGCCTCTCAAAGTGCTAGGATTACAGATGTGAGCCACCATGCCCGGCCTGACACATTTCCTTAGCAATATCTAACACTGTGGGATTTGTTTAAAAACCTTTCCTCACAGAGAGATGCTCCATAGGCATTTCACATTGTTTTACATATTTTTAGAAAATCCTGCCTGGTTCCTTTAATCTTCCATGCATTTCTATTCTACGGAGACAATAAAAGTGCATGTTCTCTTTATTCCTGTTGATTACTTACTCCCTAAAAACCTGATGGGAACTCATACCTGAATGTTCCAACCTCCACTACTGTCCCACCGGACCCTGACTGTGAGAAGCTGCGTGTCAGGGAGATCCTCTCAAATACAGTTTACTGGATCTCTCTTTGTGCGATTCCCATTTCAATCTGTAACCTATGAAAACGCACTTTAAGAGCCACAAGAAATGTACTCATGTGATTGTTCACAGTGAAAACAAGAAAACATTCTTCTTTCTTCTCCCTAGGGAAAGCTAGGAGCCTAAATGTTGCTATCCTCACACTAAATGATCTAACAACAGAGGGTTAACACAAGAAGAAAAAGATAAGAAACTATCCTTTCCGACAGTCTCTGATTTTATTATGAAATCAACCCCCCAAAAATTGGGATCTTGGATTTTTTTCCTGAGAAAATAGGTAAAGAACATTTTCTTTTCTTTCGCCTTTTCTAATTTGCCTTTGTGCTCTTGACCCAAGAAACGGTATCTGATTACCTATCAGAGAGAATAATAAACCTAAATTGATGACTGACATTTTAACAGACTGAACAGCAATATTTCACCACTGAAATCCTGGACAATTTTCTAAGAGCTCTTTTTACAAGTAGGCTTCATAAATAGCCAGGACATTGAGGATTTAATTATGAAATCAGAATGCTTGATTCACGACCCTCTTTTCAGAGCCAAATACCTCTTCATTCTCAGACTCACTGTCTTGAAAGTGCAATCACAAGCACTTACCTTGTTTATTTCCCAGTCTTCCTCCAACTTTTCCACTGCAGCTGATTCCTGAGTAGACTCCTGCACATCAGAAGTGGCCTGCTTCTCTCTGCCTGGCAGAGTAAACTTTCCTTTCTTTTCTGTTGAGCGTTTTGATTTGAGAATGCTGTTGAGACAACATTCCATCTCCTGCTTAGCAGATGCAAGCCTGTTTTCCAAATCTTTTTGTTTACACTGAAGTGATTTTATATCATCTTTAATAATCTTCTGCCCCACTGAAGATGTATTTTGCTTGACGGATTTTGCTAAAGCTAAAATCTTCTTTAATGTGCCATCTTGTAAACTGAGTCTATTCTCTAGTTCCTACGAGTGGAGAAAAGATTGTTATATCTCCATTCAATTGCCACAAAAGTTAATTGACTTTTGTAAATCACAGAGTACTCTTGCTTCACCAGTAGAAATATTTAAAAACTTAACAACTCATATCACATAGAAGAAACTTTGGCAAAATTTAAACCAATGCTGCATCTTGGATCAAATTCTCAAATACGTATTTTAAGATACTAAAATGTTTGCAACAAGTAATTTAGAACAACACAGGAGGCAATCAACAGATATTCGTTGAATATATATGTTTTGTTCAAGATACGTCTTTGTCACACAATCAAAACACTGAATAATAGGTGCCTATTATGTGTGAAGTATTAAAAAGAATAGAAGAATCATTTAGAATGTACCCAATGAATCTAATGCTAATATTTAAAATTCAGAGCAAAACTTTGTGTTGATGAGAAATTCACCTAGTGTACTATCTTAAATATAGCAGAAAATCAATAGTAAATGCGTAAACAAATATGACTAATTTTAAAACTCTAGACTGAAAAGGAATTTGATGTACTGCAGTAGCTACTTTGAACTAGAATAAATCTAGGTGAACGATGTACAGTTTATCAGTCGTTATCCTAATGGGCTACACAAGAAGCATTCACTCAATCATTCATTCATCCAACTAACAGCCAAGTACTAGGATAGATTTTGAAGTTACATAAAGAAGTAACATACAGGCCTTTCAAGGTGCTACAGTCTAGTGGGTAAAACTGTCCCTGAGGGCCCACCAAGTGAGGGTCAATTCCAATTATAAATGGATTTGTCCACTAAAGAAGGACATTCTCATTTATTATGACTGGTCAGAGCTTTAATTACCTAAGAGTCATCTGAATACCACTGGAATTTCTGACAGAGGACACTGATTAATCACACTGTAATTAACACTGATTTTTTTTTTTAAATGTCTATCATGTCTGGACACCGTTTAGTACCTGCAGTTTCTGCAATTTTTCCTCAACCGCTATTTGATCCACAGGCTTATCAGAAAAACTGACAAATTCCTTGGAGAAATTGTCCAATGTAGTATTCAGGTCTGTGACGCAAACCTGGTATGAATCATGTTCTCGAACGTGACCGTCCAAGTTTTGCACAGAATCCTAAAAATAAAGCCACAGACAATTTACAAATTATTTCTCTCTGATTGTTTTCACTCACAAAATAATTAAATGACTAATAAATACTTGTTTACCAGTTTCATCTTGAAACAGGAATACGGCTATAAATTAGAGTTCTAAAGATTTTAGAGTTGGAGATATTTCACTGCAAAGTCTCCATCTCCCCCGCAAAAAAATGACTCTTATTGAAAACAATGTTTTTTCCATGCTTCTTTGCCTTCATTTCCCCTTCATGAAGATAATTTATTTGTCAAGATGTTTATAAAATGAAATAGCTACAAATTGTATCATTAAATCCCAAACATTCATGATAAAGCAGCTTCCTTAATTATCCTTTGCAATAAAACCAACTACCAATTTCCACACTTGGAAATGAGACCATATGAGATCAAACTAACCTCAGATTCATGTCTTAAGAATCAAACTCCAAACCTGTGTGTTAGGAAAATGTAATCTTAACTCAAAAGTAAAACCACCTTTAGTTTCTCTCCCTGGGATAGGAAAATACAATGACCACAGCTGATCAAAAAGCAGCAACTACTAAATTAAACAATTTACAGAAGAACAGGTCTATCTTAACCCCTGCCCAACTTCTGCTATCTGTTCAAGCAGGATTTCTTACCCAGGCAATGTTTACATGGAATCTGGCTTTCAGTGTACAAAGAATTATAAACACTTCTATTAAAAGAATATACTCCCTCATGACAAGCTGACATTTTACCTCTTAATTATTATTTTTTTTGAGATGGAGTCTCACTCTGTTGCCAGGCTGGAGTGCGGCGGTGCAATCTCGGCTCACTGCAACCTCTACCTCCTGGGTTCAAGCAACTCTCCTGCCTCAGCCTCCCCAGTAGGTGGGACTACAGGCGCGTGCCACCATGCCCGGCTAATTTTTGTATTTTTAGTAGAGACATGGTTTCACCATGTTGGCCAGGATGATCTCAATCTTCTGACCTTGTGATCCACCCACCTCAGCCTCCCAACGTGCTGGGATTACAGGCGTTGAGCCACCGTGCCCAGCCTGCCTCGTAATTATTTTACTGAAGATCAGGCAGGAAGATCTGAGGGAGGGGCACTGATAAGAAGGTGGATATAAGATAACTGACATAAACTACTAACAATAGATGATGGATGGATGGATAATATTGACACTGTTACCTTCACAGAGATGCCTGAAAAATCTTAACCCATTCTACCCCTAAAGAGGGGAATTTTGATGAGAGAATATAATATCATCATCAAATAATACAATAGCAAAATGAGCTGGATTTATTCCTCCATCCTTGAGAGTTAGGATTTTCATCTAAAAATGATAAATTAGGAGCTGGGTGCAGTGGCTCGCGCAGGTCATCCAAGCTATTCCAGAGGCTGAGGCAGGAGGATTATATAAGGCCAGGAGGTCTAGACCAGCTTGGGCAACAAAGCGAGACCTTATTTCTACAAAAATAAAAAAATTAGCTGGGTGTAGTGGCGCATGCCTGTAGTCCTAGCTACTAGGTAGGCTGAGGTGGGAGGATCGCTTGAGCCTAGGAGTTCGAGGCTGCAGTGAACTATGATTGCAACACTGCACTCTAGCTTGGGTGACAGAGAAAGACACTGTCTCTAAAAATAAATAAATAAATAAACAGGATCAATCAAATTAGAAAGCTCTTAGTTTACCAAAAGAACAACAACAGGCCAGGTGTGGCTCACGTCTGTAGTCCCAGCACTTTGGGAGGCCAAGGCGGGAGGATCACTTGAGCCCAGGAGTTCAAGACCAGCCTGGGCAACATGGCAAAACCCCATCTCTAAAAAAAATACAAAAATGAGCCAGGTGTAGTGGCACATGCCTGTAGTCCCAACCCGGGAGGCTGAAGCAGGAGGATCACCTGAGCCCTCAAAGGTTGACACTGCAGTGAGCTGAGATCATGCCACTGCACTCCAGCCTGGGCAAAGAGTGAGACCCTGTCTCAAAAAAATAAAATAAAATAAAATAAAATAAAACAAAACAAAATGAACAACAACAACAGATAGTTCCACATATGTCTTGCATACTTATGTATAATTAGAACAATCATTTAAAGCATTATTTTGACCACCTCACCTGCAGTTGTTGAAGAAGACTTTCGTGTAGATGCTTTATTTCCAGCCAAGGCTCTTCACTGAAGCTGGGATTTTTAGTGCACTCCAAGAGGTAGTTTCCCTGAGATTTTAACTCCTTTAGCAAGGATGTCAAATCTTGGGCTTTCTTGAGGAATTTCTTATAAATCTTTAACTGAGCTTTCTTCTCCTGCAGACCATGTTGTAGAGCAAAGCCTGCTTCCTGTTTCTTCTTTAGTTCTATGAGCATTAATCTCAGATCCTCCTTACTTTGTAAATATTTCTCTCCTTCTAGTAGAAGCTTTTCTTGATGGCTAAATTTCACAAAATATTTTATAAATTAAATGATATTTAGCAAAATGGACTAGCATTTTGCATATTATGTAACACACATCCTAATAAACATTAAAATAACACTAATATACATTGTTCCCAGAGACTCTTTTGATATTAGAACACTGTAAATAACACTGTTTAGCTCAGAAACCAAGACAGAAATTATTTGAGTATTACTAAAAAATAATTGTTTTCTGTTACATAATTTGACCAGAGAATATTTAATAATTTAGATTTCAAACAAGTCCCAACAGTTTCTACTAATTATATTTTCCCATACTTTACTTCTTCATAAAGTAAAACAAACATTCCGTATATTAACCAACTAACTAGTTTATGCTTTTATAGCTTAAAATTAAGATCTGATTGGCTCTTCAAACATAAAATTCACATTTCTAAATATTAAATGTACCATTGTAGACATGATATGAATTAAGAATTTTCACTAGAATTACATCCATTGGATTCAGCCAACATTTATCAATGTTCACATATTTAAGAATTTCTTAAAATAAATATTTAAGAGCATTAATTATTCTACAGTGATACCATGCAGATAATGAGGTTATCTGGTTTTGGTTTCTGTCTCTTGACACTGTGGATGTCCCTGACATTACCAACTTTCTCTCTAGCAGATATTATATCCAAACCCAGGGGGCAGACAAAACATACTTGTTATGGCTTCACTGGGCAATGGGATATGATGCAAGTGGTGCAGGCATGCCCTTTACCTTAGGTAGGTGCTAGCTAAATGGAGTGTGTTGTCCCACTGGTTGCTGATGTCAGTGAGGGTCTTCTGAACCAGCGGGGCCTCGCTGCTCTCAGCCTGCTTCATGATGGTCTCTATTCTGGCATCCCCTTCAGGCTTCAGCAAAATGATTTCCTGAATTAAATAAAAGAGATTTTATAATGTCATTTGCATTACTTAGAGATACTACATGCTATCTCTTTATTTGTAAGCTTTATATAGAGATTCTATCTGTAGGGTATATTTCAACATAATCTTTTCATTTTTATATGTACCCGAAAGACAAAGATATCTCTCTTCACATTATATATAGTTCTCCATAAATATTTGTCAGTTTGAGCTGACTGCATTCCTGCTCTTCTCTAGATTTTCAATACTTCCTTTATGCCCCCAAAACCCTGGCAAAACCTCTTCCTATCCACTCTATTATTTATGGATGGAGAGTTATGATAACAATCTGACAAGACATTTTTATAACCTAAGCATAGACTTATGACTTCCCATAGGAAAATACAGTGTCCCTCATGTCAACTCTTGTTTCTCTACCATGACATAATTAATTCTCGTTCTCACTTTCTCTGGGAAAACGTCTGGATATAATCCCAAATGATTCTGATTATTTACTAAGTCTCACCAACCTTAAGAGCTCATGATTTTTGGCCATTTCTTCCTCTAAGAATGCTTCAATGAATGTGATTTCAGTTCTCCTACAGTTCCTTTTAAACACAAGTGCTTCTGTCCCCTGTATTTTTATCTAGTGATTGAATTTTTAAATTTATTATAATTAAATTTTAATTTTTAAAAATGTTTACTGAATCTCCCCTTAGATAAAAAGGGAGCCCAAGGGAGCTTGAGACTTCCTTGCTTTCCCCTCCCACTATCTAATAAACTTTTATGAACCATACACATCCACTCTGAAGAACTCCCCTGCCTCGACATTGCTGATGCTTCTGCTATACTGACATATGTTCTTTTGACATCCTAGCAAACTCCCTCCCACTAGCAGCTCTGATTCATTGTCTTTATTTCAATTCTTCTGCACTCATTGAAGACGGACAATAGGCACACTGCTCTCTCTAAGACAGGACATGCTTTCTGTCTTTCATGTGCATCCAAGTAATTTTAGATCCGTCACAACCCTTCTTTTTTGTAAGCTCAGTGATCTGAATTTCTTCAACCATTCCACAGTGATCTGATTTTCCATTAAGAAGCACATCTTTACAGTTTTCCTCTAAATCTTTTCAAAACTAGAGTTCACTCAGACTTCTGAAATTTAGTTTCCATAGTTATACCTTGATTTTTTGGATTCTTTCCTCAAGTGGCATTTTGCCTTCGGATGAATTCAAAACCATAAGGGACTCTTTAATCTCTTTTATCCAATGAATTACATCATGTGCAAGATCATTAAAGCTCTGGTCCTCTGTGGGTAGTAACTTATCCTCTTCCTCGATTTCACTTAGTTGTCTCAGTAATGTCTGGTATCTATCCATCAAACATGTTGCTTCCATTATTATTTCTTCTTCTTCAGTAAACCCATATTCCTTCAAAGAGTTGTTCAATTGGGCCACAGATTCAAACTGTTCCCTGTAAATTCCAAATACCACTTAAAGTTTATAGGAGTAACCACACCATGGAAGAAACCATAATCTCAGGTAATGTATTTCATACAAGATCAGCTATACCTCTTTCTAGCTAAAGCTTGGCAGAACAGCTCAGTTTTCTCCCCTGGTTCTTCCATTCCTTTCCATTTCTCTTCTTGATTAGTCAACCACTTCCTCAGGTTTCTATGGTCATCCTGGAGTCTAAAAGAGCATTACACATGTTTAAATACAAAATAAGCAAAAAGTGTTTATACCAAAGAAAAGGATGGCACAAACCTTGTGACTCAACCAGGTTTTTATAATATGTTTGTTATAATTTAGAGAGAATTTAATTTGTAATATAAAAAATCTAATTAACAGCCTGTATGATAGCGGGGTTCTATAGTATTAAAGAAAACCACACAAATGTCTCATAGAGAACAGGAAACAGAAAACTTTTTTCAGACTATCCCATGAACCTTTGCTACATTAGACAATGTGAAGATTTTTCCCGAATTTTTATATTTCTAGCACCAAACCTGGATTGAAAAGTACGCCTTTTGTGTGTGAAATTTGTGTGTACTGCGTATCCCAGTGCTCTCTGCGCTGAGGCAGAGTACAAATAAAGATATGGTTAGAAAACATGTTATTTAGATATCATCTTTATTTCCTACCTCAGTAGCTGCTGCAAGGAGTCTTCAAGCTCCTTTGCTCGAGCCTGGCATATGGACTCCATTTTTTCTAATTCGAATTCCTGACCCACGAGCCAACTGATAAGCTCCTTCACATGTGCTTTGGGCAGATGCTTCTTCACATGCTTCAGTACGCTGTCCACCTGCTTTATTTTACTGTTTCTTCCTTCAAGAGTCAAGAAATCCTTCAGAAAGACAAAAAGTCCATTACAATCTCCTGGCAAGTCTGAATGTGGTCTCTGCCACCCTCACGACACTTTTCCAAACCAGTACACAGACATACCACCTTCTTAAGATCCTATACGAAAGAAGGGTGATGGAGATGTGGCTATCTCCAATGGCAGATGATTTATAATAGTTCTGACTTCTTGGGAATTACATCAAGCAAAGTAACACAGAGCCACCAGGAAGATCAGCAGGAGCAAGACCAGGACAGCTACATTTTCCTATCCTGGCTACGTCCAACTTCTCCACAGACTATTCTCTATTTAACGTTGCCCAAATAAGAATTTTATCTCAATGTTTACGTTTCAAGGTTTGGGCATCAATTGTTAAGGCCCATGCAATGGGCAAAATTAAAGGCAAACAAGCAAACAAAAAAAGATGAGACTTCAAATTGTTAGAAGAGGGGTGATTCTATCAGTAAAGAATGGTACCATCAAAGCAAGGAATTAAACAGTGAACATTTAGTGCCATTGATAAGCTTAAAAACATAACTTATCATCAAAACATTAAAGTAATAGATAGTCTACCCTAAAGTGATCAAGATTTTAGGGTACCACAGGCCTTTCATACGCCCCCGTGAACTCTGCCTTTCATTTCAGGATATCCTCCACTACGTTCCAACCAGAAATGTACTGAAGTTCAGCGGCAATTTTTAAAAGAAATATAACTGGAAAAAGATGTATAAACAAGTTAAAATACCTCTTTCAAGAAAGGGGATTTTAAAGTCCAAATTAGGTCTTTATTTTTTATCAAATATGATTTCAACACAACTGAATTCCCCAGTGGACACTAAATTAAACAGCATCTTAGAATATATGTAAAAGTAGAGATTCTGTAAGCCATTTGTACACACACCCAATAAATAGAGTCTTAAATATTTGGAAAAAGGCCAAGTTATTTGGGAATATTATCTCTCATGTGAAAATATCAGTAAGTCAAAGTACTTATTACTCTATTTCTTTTTTATTTGAGACAGGGTCTCACTCTGTCGCCCAGGATGGAGTGCTGGAGTGCAGTGGCATGATCTCAGCTCACTACACCTTCCTCCTCCCAGGCTCAAGCGATCCTCTCACCTGGGACTACAGGTACTTGCTGCCACACCCAGCTAATTTTTGTATTTTTTGTAGAGATAAGGTTTCACCATGAGCTTGGTGAACCTTTTACCAAAGTTCGAGACCCAGGCTGGTCTCGAACTCTTGAGCTCAAGTGATCCACCAGCCTCAGCCTTCGAAAATGCTAGGATTACAGGTGTGAGTTACCATGCCCAGCCTCCCTATTTATTTTGATACAGTTCTATGCCTCCAGTATTTTAGTATTGAAAATTTTTATTAAAAATACACATATATCTCTTACAGAAAGTTTTTGTAGCTTTTGTTCCACACTCTTTTTTGTTTCTGATGATTCAAAACACTCCTTAAGGTTCACTTTAATGTTGCTGAACCAGTCATTAAAGTTCTTGCATTGATCTGCAGGGGGAAAAAAAAAGCTCTATTCATTCAAGGAAGACTTCATACATCTTGTTAAAGTGAGAGATTTTGAAACTTGTTTCCCATGCCATAGATATACATCGTTGTGAAAGTGGTAATAACCTCTGAAACCCAATTTTGAGGGCTAATAAAGCCTAGACAAGGTTTCACCATAAATTTGGTGAACCTTTCACCAAGGTTTGAGACCCAGGCTGGTCTCAAACTCTTGAGCTCAAGCAATCCACCCGCCTTGGCCTCCCAAAGTGCTAGAATTACAGGCGTGAGCTACCGCGCCCGGCCTCCCTATTTATTTAGATACAGTTCTATGCCTCCAGTATTTTTACTACAATTCATCAAATAATTGTAGTGTATTTTCTATACCAAACGTCCAAGCATACAGGACACTCAAAGACACTGCCTGGACCGCTTGTGCACCAGTATTTCCCCAGACTCACCAACCACAATGAGCAGGTCAAACACTAGGACCTTAGTGACTTACCTTCAAGAAAGAAATAAAGGTTTGGAGCTTGCAAGAACTAGGTGTTATTTATGTCAAGCATAAATCAGTCTTTGCTCCCAAAAGATTTATCTGATTATTATTTCCTTGAATGTAGTCTGTGCAAACCATCTCTAAGTCAGGCTTAGATTAGCTTTTGTGTTCACAGTACTACATTCATACTTCAAGAGTCCCAGAAACAAAATAAGAGAAATGTTGCACTCACCATTCAATAACTTAGAAAAGTGATCTTGCAAAACACTTTTTTTGGTATTAAATAAATCACTGACACTTTCATATTGCTTTTTCAATTCAGAGAGTTCAGGAGTCAGACAACCTATTTGATTCTCAAGTAATATCATACTGTGTTTTTGCTGTAGAATCTGCTGTTGTATCTCCTAAATGCATAAACAAACAACAACCATTAAATCTTAAAACAGGCTCAAATTACACAAAGCATATTAGATCTCAATTGTTTTGTAAAAATCTCAATGACTCTCTGTTGAGTGGATTCACTTTCTCTTTGCTAGTAAATGTATGATACAATGCAAGTTAATATCAAATAATTATCATGCACAAAGCAATTCAAAGATGAAAATGCTAAATATACAAAAGCGGTTTTTCTGAGTTTTCTTCTTCGACTTTTTTTTTCTATTTTTATTAACTCTAAGAGCTCAAGACAACTGCAAATAGTGTGAAAATAAATCTGAACCACAGAAGACAAGCAGCTCGGTAGCACCTCTAGTTTAGTGAAGATCTCCAAGCTGTCAGAAGGAGACAGGGCTTTTAAGAGGGATTCAGTCATCCCGATCTGGGTCTTGGCTTGGTCGAGATCCTCCCTTAGCTCAGCAGTGCTGCCACTGAGTGCATGGCAGTTGGATTCTCCTGTTAAGCACTTCTGTACATGTTCCATCTTGTTCAAAATAGAGGACTCCATGACCTGAAATCATGAAATATATGAAGTTGTATAACAGTCATTATTTAACTAGATTTAAGACAACTGCATTGCTAGAGAATGGGTTGAGATTACTTCATTTCAATGTGAAATGCATTCTTTTCATTGCTCTACGTTTTTCTATGTCACTGATACAATTTGAATTTTGCCTTTAAAGGATAAAGCATAACATAAAAAAAACTGAAATGGATATTCTGATTTTTTTCTAAGAGACAAACTTGATCCTTCCCCTCAACACAAGTTTAATCTAGCATACCAACTAAGGTGCTGTCTCATGGTGCTCATGACATAAAATATAAAGAAAAATATATGGAAAAAAATTAAACAGCCTGCTTTTTATTGAGTATTTATGATGTACACAGCATTGTGGTAAGCACTTTGTGTACAAAATACAGGCTTAAGAATGTTAAGTAACTTGTCCAAGATTATAAAGCTAGTAGGTAGTACAGCCGGAACCTCACCCAGAAGGTCTTAACTCCAGCACTCATATTCAACCACTATGTACCTAGATCTAAGAAAAACAAAAACAAATCTCTTCACACAACAGAAAACCATACTTGGGGCAATCTCTCTCTTTCTCCATCTAGCAAATAATAAACCTAGGATGACTTGAGTGAAATTCTCCTTCCTATACCCAAGAAACACATAGAAAATAATCATTACTTTACACAGATGCACAGGCAACATTTGCCCTCCATACCTGAGTGAGGCCTGTGAAATAGGTGAGGGGAAAATAAAGGACTACAAAAATATAATATCATTGACGCTAAATATGGAATAAATATATTTAACTATACCAACTATTAGAAATTTGGTGGGACTTAACATAGGAATTGAATAAATGATCCTAATTTTATTTTAGGCTTTATGTTTAGAATGCATGATTTTTAAGCATTATTTTAGAGGCCATAGGGCAAGCTTGTCCAATCCACGACCCAACATAAATTCCTAAATTTTCTTAAAACATTATGAAATTTTTTTGCTATTGTTAGTGTATTTCATGTGTGGCCCAAGACAATTCTTCTTCCAATATGGCCCAGGGAAGCCAAAAGACAGGACACCCCTGTTATAGAGAATCTTTAATTGGGCCGTTTTTTTCTTCTTTTAGAGACAGGGTTTTGCTCTGTCGCCCAGGCTGGAGTGCAGTGATATGATTATGGCTTACTGAAGCCTCAATAACTGAAACTTTTAAATAAAAATTCTTACCTGCAATTCAAGAGGTATTTCACTGCTTTGGAGCAAAAACTGTATTTCAGCCACTCTTCTAGAAAATTCTGAAGTTTTTTGTTCATGGACTTGTAATTCTTCCTAAAACATGTAATTTTAAAGGATAGTGTCTTTTTATTTCATACCTTATTTTCTGATACCCATAATTACTACTGTTTATATATAGAAACTGAGAGAGCCCTTGAATTTCCCATAATCATGTGTGTTTTGTCAGAGTCCTAGAAGTTACAAATCCAAGTGCCTTCAGGGGTCAGGCAAATGCTACAACCAAGCGTCTTTCTAGGTATAAGACAAGAGAAAGGCTAGGCCTGTGCCACAAGAGAATGCACGGTCTGCCTTAAAGCATTCAATTTCATAAATATATTTATAAATTGCATACCCCGTGTGTGCGCATCTGCACGCATGCACACACATACACACACACACACGGACACACAATTTTAGCAGATTTTGGCCCACAGCTGTCAGTTTACAATTCTTAACTTCAGATTTTTAAACAACCTGTAATCCAAGACAAATTTAAAGGACTCTTAGAAATGATTCATTTATACTTAGAAAATCATAGTTTCACTTAATACCTATTATCATTTATCCAGGAAACTTGAAATCTCCAAACAGTTCAAAAACTTTTTCCAAATATGTAAAAATAAATACATGAATTAAAAAGTAAATAAAATAGTTAGAGACAAAACGAGATCTGAGGCATTAGCATACATTTTTATGTTACGTTGAACCACATATAACTGGCAACAGTTGGCTGTTTTCTGACCTAGCAAGAGAACAAATTTTTTTTTTTTTTTGAGACGGAGTCTCCCTTTGTCGTTCAGGATGGAGTACAGTGGTGCAATCTCTGCTCACTGTAACCTCTGCCTCCCCAGTTCAAGCTATTCTCCTGCCTCAGCCTCCCATATAGCTGGGATTAAAGGCACACACCACCACACCCAGCTAATATTTTTGTATTTTTAGTATAGACAGGGCTTCACCATGTTGGCCAGGCTGGTCTCAAACTCCTGACCTCAAGTGATCCACCTGCTTCAGCCTCCCAAAATGCTGGGATTACAGGTGTCAGCCACCACACTCAGCTGACAACAAATTTATATGATACAAACAAATAATATGTAAACAAGCAATTAGGAAGAATTCTTCCTAGAGTTGAAAGAGAAATAACTTTGATTCTTTCCAGATGCCACAACCTGAGACTGTTGTTTTAAAAAGTAGCTTTTCTTGAAGCTCTATAAAGATGGTGATACTCAGCCATGTATTTTTTCTGATCTTTATAAGGCATTGTTTAATTCAAATATGAAGAAGGCCGTCTAAAATCATGGTCTAGATCGGAGGTTAACTATAGCCGGAGAGCTGATAGCCTGTTTTTATAAATAAAGTTTTTATTGGAAACCAGCTGCTTTCAAGCATTTATATTGTCTCTCGCTGTTTTCAATTCTCCAACAGCAGGGTTGAACAGTTGTGGCAGAAACAAATGATCCACAAGGCTAAAATATTTACTATATGGCCCTTTAAGAAAAAGTCTGCTGGCTGGGCATGATGGCTCACGCCTGTAATCCCAGCATTTTGGGAGGCCGAGGTGGGCGGATCACGAGGTCAGGAGCTCAAGACCAGTCTGGCCAACATAGTGAAACCCCGTCTCTACTAAAAATACACAAAAAATTAGCCAGGTGTGGTGGTGTGCGCCTGTAATCCCAGTGTACTCAGGAGGCTGAGGCAGGAGAATCATGTGAACCTAGGAGGCGGAGGTTGCAGTGAGCCGAGATCGTGCCACTGCACTCCAGCCTGGGTGACAGAACGAGACTCTGCCTCAAAAAAAAGAGAAAAGAAAAAGTCTGGTAACCCCTGGGGTCTGTATTGCTACCCGGGAGCAATTATGCATTTTGTTGGCGCTTTTGCTAGGAATTCTTCATCTTTTTCATACTACCAATCCCTCTGGCAATCTGGTGAAGCCTACAGACCCCTTGCGTAATAGCAATTTTAAAATAAAGCATAAACTAAATAAGGTAGAATTACAAAGGAAAACAATTACATGATAGTTATCAAAATATTAAAAACAATTTGTGATACGTAATACTAGCACGTTTCCCCATTATATAACAAGATCTAGCAATAGACTTACTAAATCCCATACTTTCAAAGTATTGGTAAGGGTAATAGATTCAACAACTGAATAATGATCCAAAAATGTCTGTGATTTTCTTGATAACAAAGTCACATATGAGCATCCTAATGTTTGTTGACTATATTCATAAAAAATAAAAAATGTCAATTGTGTACCAAGAAAAGCATGTATTTTATCTGTTAAATTACCTTCAGCCTTTCTCTGTCCTCTTCAGTCAATTGATGTAATTCCATTTTTTGAAGGGCCTTTTCTGTCCACTCATCAATGACATTTTTTAAGTTAAAAAGTTTGTCCCACAAAGCTAGAGCTCGACCAAGATTTTCATAGTAATCTTCTGTCTTCTCATTTATCTACCATAATTTAAAAAGAGAAACAACATATGTAGCAGTGAAAAGTCTGAAAACCACTGTTTCAGCCAAACACTGTTTTAAAATAAAATTTTAGTTTACTATTACTGGATAATCTGCTTTATTCATCAACAAAAATTTGCTTTAACATATCATGTAGTTCTTTCTCTTAAAAAATAAAAATAAAACTTACCTGATTTGCTGTAGCTTATATGCAATTGAAATCAATAGTCTTCCTAATTTCTTTTTTTTTTTTTTTTTTTTTTTTTGAGATGGAGTCTTGCTCTGTCGCCCAGGCTGGAGTGCAGTGGTGCGAACTCGGCTCACTGCAAGCTCCGCCTCCCGAGTTCACGCCATTCTCCTGCCTCAGCCTCCCGTGTAGTTGAGATTACAGGCATGCACCACCATGCCCGGCTAATATTTGTATTTTTAGTAGAGACAGGATTCACCATGTTGGCCAGGCTGGTCTCAAACCCCTGACCTCAGGTGATTCACCCGTCTCAGCCTCCCAAAGTGCTAGGATTATAGATGTGAGCCACCATGCTGGGTCTAGTCTTCTTCATTTCTAAACCACATTTTTTTTTGTTAAATGGTACTTTTAAAAACCCAGATGAAAATATAATGCAGATGAGTTCTTAGTTTCTAATTAATAAAAACTAGTAATATCATTACTACTCAACCAAAATTATATTAAATATGTAGTTAAACATCAGTATACTGCATGAACAGGCAATATATTAAAGAACTTATTTTTAAAAAGCCAAGTATGTATTTCTATATGTACAAGATGATGAACCCATCTGTTAGTAGTCCCAACTCTGGGGTTAAAATTAATTCCTAAGTTTTATATAATTTGAACATTTTTACAATGAGTATTTTTGAATCTTGAATTAAATAAAAATACTAAAGATACACCAAAATATTGGAAACAAAATTAAATTTGCAATCAATGAAATTATCACTTACATCAAGCCATCTATCCACAATAATATTAGCCTCTTTTTCAAAAGGGGGCTCTTCAAAAGTTTTCATTTTATTTAGATAAAATTGTAGATTTTTGCAGACCTGGTTTATCTTGTCTACAACTTCTAAATGCTCATTAAATTCTTCTTTGACAATTTCAATCTGTAAAAAAGATATGAAAGTTATTTCTGATATTTTGATATAGACAAACAGCTAAGAATCACAATTCTATTGTTGGATATTGAGCTTAAAAACAATACCCAACAAAGCATAATACCTTCTTACATTGTTCTTTTTTAAAGTACGTTTTTATCGTCCCACTTTCTCAATAAAAAGTTTTTAGCATCCTAACCATTGGTTCAATGTTAACCCTATACTCAAATTTCATCCCACTCTGCATGATGAAATTTTTATAGTGGTCTAAAACCATATTTCTTGTCCATGTGAAATAAGATTCTATCTGCCAAAAAAAGCATCTGCATTCAATGGCATTAAAAAAAAAAGTCCCTACATCTGCCTAATAAGAATCATCTTTTTAATATCAAAGAACCTAAGCACTTATCTGAATAAAATAAACAGAACTCTAAGACATCTTGGATTCTAACTTTATCATTTCTAACATAAAAGGCAAAAATGCTACTTTATCAAAACGAAAATCTCCAATCACTGGGAAACTGAGCAACATACTTCTAAATACCAGTCAAAGAGGAAGTCTCAAGAGAAATTTTTAAATACATCAAACAGAATGAAAATAAAACATGAAAACTTGTATAGCACAGTCAAAGTATTGCTGAGAGGGAAATTTATAGCACTAAATGCATACATTAAAAATGAGGAAAAGTCTGAAATCGATAATCTAAATGACCACTTCAAGAATCTAAGAAAAGAACAAAATAAACCCAAAGCAAGCAAAAGGAAGGAAATAATAAAAATTAAAACAGAAATCAATCAAGTTGAAAATACAAGAACATTAGGGGAAAAAAACCAATAAAATAAAGAGCTAGTTCTTTTAAAAGATCAGTAAAATTGATAAACTTCTAGAAAGACGGACAAAAGCAAAGACAGAAGAAAGCAATACAGTCCTAGGAATGAAATAGGGATACCACTACAGACACTACAGACATCAAGCAGATAATAAGTTAATGCTACAAATAACTTTACACACACAAATTTGAAAACTTAGAGGAAATGGACAGATACTTTGAAAAACACTACTGCAACTCATCCAATATTAAATACATAATGGGAATTGCCCTATTAATACTAAAGAAATTGAATGAATAATGTAGAAACTCCCCAAAAAGAAATCTACAGGTCCAGATGGTTTCACTAGAGAATTTGACCAAACATCTAAAGGAGATTTAACAGCAATTATGTACAATCTCTCCTGGAAAACTGAAGAGAAAGAAACACTCCCAATTAATTTTATGAAAGCCAGTTTTACAGTACCAAAAAAGAAACTACAATATCTCTCAAGGATATTTACACAGAAATCCTTAATAAAATATTAGCAAATATAATTCAGCTACATATATATATATACACGTTATATATATATACATATATACACATATATATTTATATATATACATATATACATATATATTTATATACATATATACACATATATATATTTATATATGTGTGTGTGTGTGTGTGTATATATATATATATATATATATATATATATATATATATATATATAAGGAATTATACACCATGACCAAATAAGGTTTATTCCAGGAATGCAAGGCTAGTTTAACATCCAAAAATCAATCAATGTAACCCACCATTTTAACAAGCTAATGGAAATAAATTATATAATCATGTCAGTTAATGCAGAAAAAGCATATAAAATGGTAAAACCGCTCTGAAAAACATTTTGACAGTTTCCTTAAAAAATAAACATGCAGGCCTGGCATGGTGGCTCACGCCTGTAATCCCAGCACTTTGGGAGGCCGAGGTGGATCACAAGGTCAGGAGTTCGAGACCAGCCTGACCAATATGGTGAAATCCCGTCTCTACTAAAAATACAAACAAATTAGTTGGGTGTAGTGGCGTGCACCTGTAGTCCCAGCTACTCAGGAGTCTGAGATAGGAGAATTGCTTGAATCCAGGAGGTGGAGGCTGCAGTGAGCCGAGATCGTGCCATGGCACTCCAACCTGGGCAACAGAGCAAGACTCCATCAAAAACAAACAAACAAACAAAAAAAACCCATGCAATTAACATATGACCCAGCAAGCACACTCCTGGACACATCCCTGAGAAATAAAAACTTATATTCACCAAAGACTCCTTTACAAATGTTTACAGCAGCTTTATTCATAATAGTCCAAAATTGGAAAGAACCCAGATGTCCTTCAGTGGGTGAATAGTTAAACTGTGACACATTTATACCATGGAATACTGCTCAGCAACAAAGAGGAACAAACTATCAATATATGGAAGAACCTGAATGAATCTCCACAGAATAATGCTATGTGAAAATAGCCAATCCCAAAAAGTTACATACTATATAATTTCATTTATAAAATTTTTAAAATATTTTTTAACATTTTTAAAATAATAAAATTATAGAAATAGAGACTATATTAGTGGCTGTCTGGGATTAGAAGGGGTGGGAGGAGGAGGGAAGTGGATGGGGCTAGAAAATGGCAATAACAAGAATCCTTGTGGTGACAAAAATGTTCTTTATCTTGACTGCATTGATGTCAACATCCTGATTGCAATATTCTATAGTTTTACCATTGGGGAAACTCAATACAGGATACCTGGGATTTGTTTGTATTATTTTTATATGTGAGTTTACCATTATCTCAAAATAAAGGCTAATTTAAACATTAATATTAAATAAAATATTTAAAATGAAAAATCAATAACTGGGGAGGTTTGTCTTCTAACTAGATGCTGACTGATACATCGGCAGAGCTGAGATCAAAACCCAGGTCTTCGTTCTCCTGGTTCAGAACTCTGCACTGGAACACAATAAATGTTTGTCCACACAGGTGGAACTAGAAGCCATTATCCTAAGAGAAATAACTCAGAAAGTCAAATGCCGCATGGTCTCACTTATAAGTGGGAGCTAAACAATGGGGGCACACGGACGCATGGAGTGGAATAATAGGCCTTGGGGACTATAAAAGGTGAGACAGTGGGAGTGGGGTGAGGGCTGAAAATTTACCTATTGGGTACAATGTCCACTATTTGGGTGATAGGTTCCACTAAAAGCCCAGACTCCACCATTACACAATATACGCATATAAGAAATTTGCACTTGTAACTCCCTAAATATACAAAAAAAAAAAAAAAATTTAATGAGGAAAAAAATTTTTAAGCAAAAATGTTTGTTCAATTAAATTTAAAAATTTTCATTTAATTGATATACTTCATTTATTTGAACAAACTAAATTTTTTTGCCTGCAAAGAACTTTCTTGTTAAACTAGCACAAGCTTCCACCGGATGATGAGAAAAGAGAGTATACTTTTAGCATTGGCAGAACTATGGGTTTTGTTTTACAGCGAATGGAAGGAGTAAAATAAAGGGAACTAGGCCCACTTTGATATTTCCAAACTTTAATAGTCTCCTGACATTCCAGCCTTCTAGTCTAACTTTTTGCACTTCTGTCTTTCATTAAAGAGAGTAGAACTTTGTCACCATATCCTAGATAAACATCCAGGTTACTACAGTTTTGAAGGACAAAAGTTCTCAGTGGTATCATATTCCAGGCACTGCTGCAAAGCAGGATAAAGATCCATGCTACAGAAATGGACTGTTTGTGAAGATAGTACCTATGTCATCACAAAATTAACTGAAAGTTATGTTAACAATTAGTACTAAAATCTGCTTTTTTAGACAGTTTTTTAAAAACCTGACCAAAGAATTAAACAATAGTGTATTAAAACTTCTATATCTTTCATACAAAATAATAGATTATTTCAAGAAACATATGAAGTACCCATATACTAGAGGTACAATTCTCATTTTAATAAAATAAGGAAAGCTGGGACTGTTGCTTCTTAAAGGTAGTTATAATTATTTTATTAATTTTAAAAATACCTTTTGCAGTTGAGTAAGGAGTACAGACAAAGCAGAGTTTTAATTAATTTTTATTTCTACTATATACACACTTCAAATATGTCTTCAGGGCAGGCAGTTTTACGCAGTGATTGAAACAGTTAAATAACAAGTTTAACATGGTGGATTAAATATATATGTTTGTCTCTGTTTTCTCCCCACATGCTACTTTAATAACAGAAAAGAATTTAAAATGGTACAAACCAACAAGCACACAGAGAATAGAGGATAAGAATACTCTCAGGTAGAAGGTGAGAAGTTGGGAAGCTGGAAAGCTGAAAAATGAGTGGTAACTGACTCACCAAAACTAAAGCTGAAACCTTGGTCTAGGAGGAGACGAGGTAGCGGGGAGGGTGCAGAGAAGCCAATAAGAAGCAAGGCCATTTGTGCCATAGAAACTCAAAAGGCTAGAAATGACTTCAAGGTAATCATTAAGGCAGAAACACAGCCACAAACAGAAAGACTGGATGACATTTTTTAAGAGAAACATATTTAGACTCTCAGGCCCTCCTCCACCCGATTGAATGGAATCCCTCCATACCCACAGAGATTGACTTTCTGGGGAGGCTCTGGACTTGGGGCTGCCAAATACAGCTGAGGACAGAGGTGAGGTCCAGTTATGATAGCCACAGAGGAGCTAACGATGGCAGAAAGACCAAGACCTGGGCCTAGATTCCGATTAGGGAGACTCACCCAGGAATGGAGTCAGCTCCCTGGAGGTGACAAGAAGAAGTTTATTAGTCAGATAAGTAACTTATCTAGAAAGTATAGTTTATAGTTATAAGGTTATACAGTTATGGGGTAGTGGGAAGAGCAGCAGACAGGCCACACGCAGCATGGGGCATCATAACTGACACTTATCAAAACAGGGCTAAGGAAAGGTGCCAGAAGTGAGGAGGATTTGCATGAACAAGAAAAGCTGCAAGTCAAGAGGGACTAGATATCTGGGCAGCATACAAGGAAGGGTCTCAAGGTCTGTTGAATAAGGCAGAGACTTTGATCCTAAAACAAGAGTACAAGGTAGGAGACTGCTATCGGGGACACGGCAGAAGGGTGGCTATGCGAACTGGGACACAAGCCCGAGAGGATCTGGTAAGGCTGAACATGCTGGATTCTCTAAGAACCTAGGAAACCAGAGCTCTTTAAATCTACTGAAAGAGGACAGGACCCTTCTAGATCCCAAGATGAGCCAAATCCAAAAGCTGCCTCCACCAGAGGGAACCAGACAGGTTACATCTAAGCAACTGTGACTATCTGCTCATGGTCTTGACAACTTTGATTAAGTCTGACAAGAAATCAGCTACACAGTCACATACTGTACAGCTGGTATCTAAACAGGGCTGCTTCCGACTGGCCAGCTCTAAGAAACTAAGTCTGAGAAAGTGGGTCCCAGACAAGGGCCATTCCTGACACTCTGGGTGTCATTTGAGCTTCAGGGTTAATAGTTCTAGATAAGGACTAAATTGTCCTATTTAAGCTTTCACTGATGCTGCTCTTGACAACTGGAAAGTTTAATAAAATTGCTTTCCAACCTCCAAGTATATCAAGCAAACTACATTTCACATACTTTTAACACCCTGACAGCACTTTAGCTTAGTACTCGTAAAATCAATAGAAAAAGGCCAGGCGTGGTGACTCATGCCTATAAACCCAGCAATTTGGGAAGCAGAGGCAGGCAGATCACCTCAGGTTAGGAGTTTGAGACCAGCCTGGCCAACACGGCGAAACCCTGTCTCTACTAAAAATACAAAAATTAGCTGGGCGTGTTGTTGCGCACCTGTATTCCCAGCTACTTGAAAGGCTGAGGCAGGAGAATCACAGAGAGGGGAGGGGAGGGAAGAAAGAAACTTTCTGGTGTAGAGTCATATAGTGCAGTATAGTATATTCTTTTCTAACTATTCCATTCTTCTGCCACTCTGGTTGATAACCACATAAAACCATAGAAAATAATGACACCTAGTGTCCAAAAATATTACTCTTCTTAGAATATAAACATAGATGGAGCAAAGTGGTAATAAGCTTGCACATCTTCACAGAAAATCAGTAAATAAAAGCTAATTTTTCCTCACTCTACTAACAACAGAGAGGATTTTCCCACCGTCTTCCTTCTGTCAAGCCTGCAATGAAGGGTCAGGTTCCTTGTAAACAGAAAGTCAGTGCAAAGGCTGTTACAACCTCACAGAGGTGGCAGCAGGGGTGAGCAGAAACACAGCCCCAGCATCAAAACCCAAACAGAAGTGACCCACCATCAACTTGGTGACTGTTTCTTTTTTCCAGCCCTGGTGATGAATACAACAAATTTTTAGATACCTGGTAAAATAGGGTCACTAGTAACTTCTTTTAAACGAAGTTTCAAAAAAGACTTAATCTATAATATCTCTTTACTACCAGGCCTGTCAGTGAGGTCACTGGGCAGTTTTTTCTAATGGAACCTGGACTCACCTCTGCTATCCTTTTCTTCAGGTTCTCCTTTCCCATGTACGAAGCCTGCAGGGAGATGACACTCTCTTCTTTTTGAATCAAAGTTGTCAAGATGCTTTTAAAATTCTGATATTGTTTTAAGAGCTCCAAAACTCTCCCACATTGTTCAAGACTAAGAATAGAAAAATATACAATAGCTAAATGTCCAAAAATAGCAAAACCGTTCTTTCTCTTTGCAAGTATCCCACATAAATGATGAATAAGGTGTAAAGGACTTTTCCTCTTGATGTGGTTCTTAATACTTTTTACCAATTTAACCTAAGAATGATGGCACATCAATATATCTGGCAAATAGATGGCATAATCTCTAGATTAGTACTGTCACTAGGTGAACATTAAAAAGTTACCAGATGTAAGGTCTAGAAAGAAACACAAGATTCATCACCCTAAGGAATCAGCATCTCAATTTCATCATTAACCAAAAGACATCTCAGAAAACAGAGCCCCTTTAACATAACTCTGGCAGATTATTTCAATATTAATTCAGCAAGTCACAGGGTGTTTATATATCTATTCTCTTTTTTTTTTTTTTTTTTTTTTTTGAGACAGAGTCTAGCTCTGTCACCCAAGCTAGAGTGCAGTGGTGTGATCCTGGCTCACTGCAACGTCCGCCTCCTGGATTCAAGCAATTCTCCTGCTTCAGCCTCCCAAGTAGCTAGGATTACAGGCAAGTGCCACCATGCCTGGCTAATTTTTGTATTTTTAGTAGAGAAGGGGTTTCATCATGTTGGCCGGGCTGGTCGTGAACTCCTGACCTCAGGTGATCCACCTGCCTTGGCCTCCCAAAGTGCTGGGATTATATATAGGTGTGAGCCACTGTGCCTGGCCTTTTATATATCTATTCTATTCATTCTGGATTTAGTCTTTTTTAAAACGTTAAGGTAGTGAGACAATGTGGCAGTTAGGACACCTGGTTTCTACTACATGTGGGCACTGCTTAGTCTGAGACTCTGGATAAGTTACTTTAGCCTCTTTGAATCTCAATTCTTTCCTCAGTAAAATCAGAGGGTAGACTAGATCAAATACCACATACAGGGTTCATCTTGACTCCTGTACACTCAGGTTCCGGTAGGAAACAGGAGGTGTACCCAAATGGAATTCTGAAGAGAGAATCAGAATTCTGAGAGCAGAATCAGGGGAAACTGCCAGGGAGGCCGAGGCACACAGGGATTAACCCCCGCAAATAGGTCATGCCACTCAGCCTCTAGGAGAAAGCTGGGGAGATGCCCCAAGCCACACAGGATGGTGCCGTCAGGTGGTGTCAGAACCACATGCGGAAACAAAGCGGGATGGTGAGACCACCCTGGCCTCTCTTCTTCCCCTCTAATACCCCCCACTGCCTAACCCTGCTGGAACCCTCAGCCTGGGCAGTTCAGCCTGTAGGGATAACCCATTCCACCACTCCCCACCCTCATGTAGATAGTAAGAGGGATGGACAGAGGATATTCCATGGAATGGACAACTGGACACACAAGCAATCATATATAAAAAACTGAATCCCTCCAAAGCAGTCTGGCAAATTAATAAATAATATCAAATATTTTTAAAAAATAAGAATTGCCAACTGGGACTGATAGGTAATGGTCTTCACAGTTTCAAAAATTTTTGCAACTAGCCCCAACTCTGCAGGAAACGCAGCCGTTATTGACAGGCAACATCTCCCATTCAGGTAGGGGCGTGTGGTAAAGTAATGCTCCCAATTCCCAAAGATGTCCTGGGCCTAATCCCTGGATCTTGTGAATGTTACCTTACATGTTACCTCACAAGGCAAAAGGGACTTTGCAGAGGTGATTAAGCTAAGGATCTTAAACTACAGAGATTATCCAGGATTGCCCGTGTGGGCCTGGTGTAATCATAAGGGTCCTCTTGAGAGGGAGGCAGGGAGAGGTGTCAAAGGAGACATGATGACAGAACAGAGGGCAGAGAGAGATCTGAAGATCCTGTGCTGCTACTTTAAAAATGGAGGAGGGTGACACAGGCAAAGGAATGTAGCAGGAGGCCTCTAGAATTGGAAAAGGCAAGGAAATGAATCTTGCCTAGAGCCTCCAGAAGGAACACAGCTTGATTTTCTTTTTTTTTCGAGACAGGGTCTCACTCTGAAGTACGGTGGTGCTATCTCGGTTCACTGAAACCTCAACCTCCCAGGCTCAAGTGATGTTCCCACCTCAGCCTCCTGAGTAGCTGGGACTATAGGCACATGCCAGCATGCAGGTTACTTTTTTTATGTTTTTTAGAGATGGGGTTTTGCCATGTTGGCCAGGCTGGTCTCGAACTCCTGACCTCAGGTGATCCGGCCACCCCAGCCTCCCAAAGTGCTGGGATTACAGGCATGAGAACTGTGTCCGGCCAATTTTTTTATATTTTGTAGAGATGGGGTTTCACCATGTTGGCCAGGCTGGTCTCAAACACATAGGCTCAAGCAATCCTCTCACTTCAGCCTCACAAAGTGCTGGGATTACAGGTGTGAGCCACCTCACGCAGCCTATTTTACCACTTCTGACCTCCAGAAGCATAAGGTAATAAATCCGTGTTCTTTTTAAGCCACTAAGTTCGTGGTGATTTGCTTGGTGATTTACAGCAATAGGAAACCACCCCAGTTGGGATGGTAATGAGCATAAACGGACTGTACTGTGTATGTGTTATGCTTCGTGGAGAACCTCTTTGCTGCATTCTGGCTATAATCTACAATTCTAGGTCTTGTCCCAGACACTGGCCCTGTGAACTCCAGCAGGAAATCCTTATGTTTGTCCCTCCTTTGGGTCCACGGAGATGTGTTTTCAACCCAGAAGTTTGAAAAAGTTAATTGTGCTACAGACAATTTTTCAGATTCAAGAGGGATTCTTTTTTTTCCTTACCATTCGGTGACCAAGGCTTTGGTATTCTCCCACAAGACTACTGTATTTTGGCACTGTTGATTCACGGTTTTTTCTCTGCCATCTTTGAAGTGTGGAAGAGAATTAGCCATTTCTTGTAAATGTCTCTTCTCTTCTTCATATTCATCTAGAACCTTATCCAGTCTGATTAATGATTTTTTCCTTGATTATGAATGAGAAAAAAGTTTGATAGCCAACTGTTAACCATTGATTCAACACAAATATGGGTAACTTGGGGAGGCACACTAACTTTAATTTGTCCTCATGTGGTTAATGCCAAAATTACACATTCCTGTTACAGAGTTCAGGAGGCTCTTTGCATTTCCAGAATTTTTCTGATTTTTGTTTTGTTTTGTTTTGTCTTATTTTGTTTTGCTGGAAACAGGGTCTCACTCTGTCACCTACGCTGAGTGCAGTGGCGCAATCTCAGCTCACTGCAGCCTCAACCTCCCAGGCTCAAGTGATCCTCCCACCTCAGTCTCCCGAACAGCTGGTACCACACGTGCGAACCACCACGCCTGGCTAATTTTTCTTTTTTTGTAGAGATGGGGTCTCACTATGTTGCCCAGACTTGTCTCAAACTCCTGGACTCAAGCAATCTCCCTGGCTCAGCTTCCCAAAGTGCTGGGATTACAGGTGTGAGCTACCGTGCCTGGCTGCATTTCCAGAATATTAATTTGGTGCTTTAAATAAATATAATAAATATACAAAAACATTAGCATTAACATATGTCTATGATGAACACACTTGTAAAAGGTGTATACACACGAGAGAAAAGAGAGAGAGACAAAGCGCATACGTGTGCTTATGTAGGGGGAAGACAGCATGATATAGGAGAAGAGGAGAAGGTGAATGACCAAGAACTGCAGGATCCTAAGGAGGGATGGGGCGGCCAAGGAGGAAGGAAAAGACAAAGGAAATCTTTCATTTCTCCGTTATGTACAAAAAGCTCTCCCTATCAAAAAGGAGTTATTTAAGGATAAAGTAATACTGGAAGGATTAACACCATTCACCTAAATCTAAATTGCTAAACTGCTCACAGCCTCTACTTCCTAGCCTCCAATTTTCTCTTCAATTCACTCCCATAAGGTTTTCATTCTCTACTGCCTACTGAAACAGCTGGCCTCCACATTGCAAAATCCCTGTTCCACTCTCAATCTTCACTTCGCTTCACTAGTCAGCACATTTGGTCACTTCCTCTTTGTTGAGATGCCTTCTTCAGGTAACCCCAGAAGTCTCTTGATTTTCATCCTACTGTACTGGCCTCTCCCTTCTCAGTTTCTTCGGCTAGTTCCCCCTCATCTTCCTGATCTCTCAATAAGGAGTGCCCCTGAGTATGGATCCAACTTGGACCTCTTCTCTTGTTTATCTAAACTCACTCTCCTCAGAAATTTCATCCAGTCTCATAGCTTTAAACAGCCTTGTAAAATGATGAAAACTCTCAAATATATACCTCAAGCCCAGACCTCTCTCCTGATTCCTAATGCCATGTATTTTTAAGTGTCTTATTGATATTGCTGCTTGAATGTCTAATAAGTATCTTGAATATATCATTTCTAAAACTGAGCACACCTAATCTTTCATTCAATACTGATACATTTCATCCAACACTGATAAACTTTAGTCTTTTTCATCTCAGTTAATGGTAACTCGGTTCTTACTCACTGTTCAAGTTACCACTGACACAATGGACAATGAAAGCCAAGAGCACTTGAACCCAGAGGAAGGTTCCAATGCTTGGAAGCATTCTTGACCCCAATATCTCTTTTACACCCCATGTCCATGTGTCAATAAATCATCTGGTCTCTATCTTCAAACTATATACAGAATCTCAACACTTTCTACCACATTACCACTGGTCCATGCCAGCTTCATCCCTACCAGGGATTACTACAATAGGTCAAACCAGACTTCCCATGTCTTCTCTCAACTCCTACAGTCTATTTTCAACACATTAGTCAGAGACAAAAGGTTATGATGAAAACCAAGACATTTCCCTCTGCTTAGAACCCTGCAATGACTTCCCATGTCACTTGAAGAACAAGCCAAAGTCATCAAACAGCCTAAAAGTTCCTGCATGAGCTAAGCTACATCTCCCCCTCACTGCTGCACCTTCTCACCTCCTTGCCTTTCCTCAAACACACCCGACCCTTGTACCTACTGCTGCCTCTGCCTAGAAGGCTATTTCTCCAGGTTCAAGTGGCTTGCTCTTGCCTCTCATCTGATGCCAAGGCCACCTTCTCAGTGAGGCCTTCCCTGATTACCCTGTTCAATAGCAATCCCCTCCTCCTTCCTTACATAGAATTTCTTTTTCTTTCTTTCTCTTCTTTGAGAGAGGGTCTTGCTGTGTCATCCAGGATGGAGGGCAGTGGTGCAATCGCATGCCGTGGTGGGATACCCTAAGAATGAAAGTATCATTGAGCCTGAGGGTGTGAGCATTTCAGAGGGAAAGGCACACTTGGCTACACTGAGGGCTTGGTCATCTAAAGACCCTCAAGAGACCACTGAGCCTGCGGAACTCAAGGTGGGCAGAGAAGGAGACAGAAAGTGAGACAGATTTAGAAAGGGGGGAAGAGGCCAGGCGCGGTGGCTCACGCCTGTAATCCCAACACTTTGGGAGGTTAAAGCGGGTGGATGACCTGAGGTGAGGAGTTCAAGACCAGCCTGGTCAACATGGTGAAACCCCGTCTCTACTAGAAATACAAAAATTAGCCAGGCGTGGTGGCGCGTGCCTGTAATCCCAGCTACTGGGGGGCTGAGGTAGAAGAATCGCCTAAACCTGGGAGGCAGAGGTTGCAGCGAGCCGAGATCATGCCACTGCACCCAAGCCTGGGCAACAGAGCAAGACTCTGTCTCAAAAACAAACAAACAAAAAAACAACGGTGGCTCACACCTGTAATCCCAGCACTTTAGGAGGCCAAGGCAGGTGGATCACGAGGTCGAGAGATTAAGACCATCCTGGCCAATATGGTGAAAACCCGTCTCTACTAAAATACAAAAAAAAAAAAAAAAATTAGCCAGGCATGGTGGCATGCGCCTGTAGTCCCAGCTACTCGGGAAGCTGAGGCAGGGGAATCGCTTGAACCCAGGAGGCGGAGGTTGCAGTGAGCCAAGATCGCACCACTGAACTCCAGCCTGTTGACAGAGCAAGACTCTGTCGAAAGGAAGGAAAAGAGGAGAGGACAGGGGAGGAGAAGGGAGGGGAGGTGAGGGGGAAAGAATTCCACAAAAGCGACTGTTGCTAACATTTTAGCTTTTGGAATCTGAAGGCCCTATTCCAAATGCTGGAATTAAAATGGCAGCAGGTATACAGAAGGCTGCCAACCTCAGTCTACTGCAACTCTGTTCCATCTCCAGAATCAACACTAACTTTAGATTGCCTCTTAAATTCAGTCTCCTGCCCTTCCACTCAGTTCCTACCCTAATCCTGCTGGGAGGAGGAGGGGACCAAATAACTAAGGAAGAAGCAGGGACAAGATGTGGCATATGCATCTTCCACCACTGGTTTCATTAATATCACAGCGTGGAGTCTGCCAGTCATCTGTCCTGAGGAGAACTCCACAGTAAACACACAGAAGGACAAGGGAATCGGAAGTAACTCATGTACAGTACTTTATGTACATCTGACTTCACCACTCCTTCATCCATAAGATACACTTTAAAGAGGAAAAAAATTATGCAACGTTTTGTACAGGTACAATACCAACAAAAAGGAAGTTTGCTTGAAAAGTCTACAGAAAAGAATGCTGAACACTGAATAGAGTGGGATGGAATAGAAGCAGAAAGACATAGGAAGAATTTCTTTCACCTAACAGAAGTGAAAATACAGAAAGATGTCAGTCACCTTGGATGGAAATGGATGGACAATACTTACCGATGTTTCACAGCTGGAACAGTAGGATCCTTAAGACCAATTTTACTGATTTGACTCTGCACATCTTGAATATTTTTAAGGAGTTCATTATTTTTGAAAATACAAGCCTCTAGTAATTTGTTTTCCTCAGTGAATTCCTCCTGTACCCCATAGCCATGTGTCTCAGATAACTTTATTGAAAAAGCATCAAGCAGGTTTTCACAGGAGGTGTCATCACCCCGTTCAGCATCTTTAAAGCTCATATCGAGCATCTTCAAACATTTATCCAAATGTTTGGCCTTGTCTTTCATCAGATGAATTTCTCCCTCTTTATTTTTTACTGTCAACGTATTTTCTTGTGCCACCTGTGTATCTGAGGCTGAAAGGTCTGTAACGGGCTCAGCAGAGAGTTTAGCTGTTCTGAGAGACGCCAAAAAGTCTTCCAGAGCTTTGAGAGTATCTTCACTCCTCTGCACCCTGTGGTTCATTCCTTCAAATTGTGTTTTGTATTTCAGTATAATATTCTGCATTGCGTGTAGATCAAATGGGTGTAACTCCTTTAATACAAAGTTGCCTGGCTCTTCTAAGCGGTTACATATTTCAATCTGTTTTGCTATGGAATCTTGGATATTCTAAAATAAAGATAAGAAAAGCTAAAACACTGAGGTGGAAAAAAGAAAGGCTACATGTGAGAAACTAGCCCCAAACTGCATGACTAGATTTGATCTAGAAAAATGCTTTTGAGTTTAACAAAAGGTGACAGTTTCTACCTAAGGAAACATTTTAATTACAAATGATCAATGTGCCAGCTCATGTTTCAATCCCAAAAAGAAAACAAGCACATAAATCTATTGCTTCAAAGTACATAATTAGATGTTAAACTGTTCAGAGAACAATTTTATAATCTGAAAAATGAACAAATATTTTTAGTTAAGATGGGATTTAGAATAAGAAAACGGTAGAATACGGCATTTAAGCATGAGTCTCGTATATTTAGGAATTCAGTCACTGAAGAAGGCATTCATAAACAAGGCTTCATTTTGAATTCAAAGAAAATACCTCACTATGCACTCCACGGTGCCCACCTCCAAATTTGCAAGGAATTAAAGAGTTAAGAAATAAAAAACAAGTCTAAATTACTGAAAAAAAAACTGTCATGGCTTATACTCTTAATCTATGCTATCATGAATAATTAAAAATCCATAAGGATTTATAAATCTCAAAAGACTCGATTATTCTGTAAATACACTGTGAGAACTTATATACTTACCCTTAGGTGTTGATAGATGCGATCAGCATCAATGAGATGAAATCCCTGGATGGCCATTTTATGGAGAGGCAGGTCCGAGCCACAGAGAAGAAGTGATGCCTTCTCTACAGGTAACACAAGCCGCAGTGCTGTCTCTAAAGATTCCATTCTGGGTGCAAGGTAAATCAGACATGAGGGGAAAACACAGCAGAAAGATATCCTATGAAACTGATTAACACAATTACTGAACTAAGAACAGAAAATAATTATCCAATAAACAGACATACAATGATATATACATACACATTATCACATTAATACCTAAACCCATCGATTCAAAATGCCAAAGAATGAATTGGTTGCTATATCCAAGTATTCTTTTATTTGTTCATCCATCTATCCATTTATTCATTCATTCATTCAACATACATTTATTTAGTAAGAGGCAGCAGAGCTAGGTTAACCATGACCCACTGGGCCAGACAACTCCAGCTGTTTTGGTATCATTAATGATTTCTCCTTTCACTCCAAAAAGCATCCCAATATCCAAGTATTCTTTTTTTCTTCTTTTTGTATTTTTAGTACAGACAGTGTTTCACCATGTTGACCAGGCTGGTCTCGAACTCCTGACCTCAAGTGATCCGCCTGCCTTGGCCTCCCAAAGTGCTGGGATTATGGGCAGGAGCCACAGTGCCTGGCCCCAAAGTATTCTTAGCAGTGTAATATATACCACACTGAATGGAAAATTGTTGTAAAACATACTAAGCCTTTCTCTTTTGAAATAAAAACAGAATTGTAACTTAACTTCACCTTGACAACTAAGAAACCTCATAATTATTTTAATTATTGAATAATTTGTTATATTTCCATATTACAAATATAATGGGGTCCAAAGAATAGGCACTACTGATAATAAATTGAAATGTGTGACCATAGGTAAGTAATATATAGACTCTGAGCCTCAGTTTTTTCCTATCAATATAGGAATATATGCTGGGGATACACAACCTATGTATACAAGGTCCTAATAACACTCTCATTTCAGAAATGAAGAGATCAATGCCCATAGAGTTTATGTGACTTGGTCGAATTCATGCCCAAAAGAGACAGTGGAAAGACTGTGTGGCCTCTGAACTTTGGCAGACCTTAAGTTCTACTAAGTTTCTAGCTAGCAGTGTGGCCTGGTTATATTATTAATATTTAACCTCTCTGAGTATCAGTTTCCTTATCAGCAAAATGCAATCATAATGGTAGCCTCTCTTACTGTTGTTGTGACATCCAAATAAAATAACATACTTAGTATAGCAAGAATCTTGCTTAAAATGGCATTACAGGATTTAGTGAGTTTATTAGATTCATAGTTAATAGATCTCAGAATTTTACCTGGTATTAAGAGTCATCTGAAGCTCTCTTTCTCTTTCCTTTAGTGTGTCTCTTTCCTTAATTACAAAAGGCTTTTTTATGTCATTCACATGATTTTCTAACTTCAATGAAATAATTTCAAACTCTTTCCAGCGAGCATCAGTTTCATTTTTTATGACCTAGATGGAACACATAAATTAATTTATCAACTAATGGGGTTAATAGACACAATTATTCTGTTCTTAAAACATGAGACATTCACCAACTGTGGAAGCAAACACAATGTTTCATATGTAAATGTGTTTAAAAATACTTTCCAACCACCTACAAGTGAACTATCCTTTAGGGAACAAGGACATTAACTGTGCTCTCAGAGGACCCATTCAGTAAAGTCAAGGGAGTCGACAAGGCAGCTTTCAAAGGTACCCAAACTCCCTTCCCCTAAGGTAATTACATAGAATACAATTCAGAAAAATACATACATGTAAGAACAGATATTCTGTTTTCTCTGGATAGGAAATCTTTCTTACCTTCTAAACTAAAAGAAAACTGAAGTGAACCAAAACTGTTTCTACATAAATAAGAAGTAACTTAAATTAATTTATGGTTTATAATTAACATCTATAATTCTATACTATTCCAGCTCCTTATCTTGATGCTTTTTTTGGTAAGGCACTGCTATACAATACTACTGACAGATCAGCAATCAGCAGTATAATTTGTTCTTCACTTTACCCAAAGATTAGTATAGTTTTTCTAACCAACTCATTATTCGGTCACTGGAGAAACGTCTCAAGACAGTTGCTTAATTGTGATGAAAACATGCTAAATCCATCACTTGAGCAACAGGGATTTTAACATATAAATTTTGCTTATTCAGATGAAAAATGGAGAGCAGCCAGATGGTGGAGTGACTGAGACCTGGTATAATAAGATAAAAGAAACTAGAAAACATGGAAGGATGTTGTAGGAACTACCTATGGCCCTCCATCTGTGAGGGTTCCCTCTAATGCACTCAGGGCGTGCATCAAGAATGATGCACTGCAATGCACAGATCATCTTTAATAGGAAAGATATTATTTGTAGAAGTTGTGATTTGTGTGCCAACCACTAATAGATTGCTTCTTTCTGTTGTTTCTGAGTCAACTGCAATAACTTCCACTGAAGGCTTTTTAGGAGGAGAATCCATCATTTAGAGTGAAAACTCCCTCCAGTGCCCTAAATGCCCAACATCAGACAGTCAGCAATCACTGTACAGCAATTTTAGACAATGTGATAATTTGGTAAAGATGATGAAGGACTGAAACAAACATTCAGAGTCACTGGCTGGTTGACTTTGGAGCAACCCAGGAGCAGGATGAAATTCCCTTCAAACACATTGTTTTTGATCAATTCCCTTGAAGCCTGAAGCATAAAAAGAAAGAAATAAACAAAAACTATTCAAGCCACAATATCTGGAGTACCAGATTAGAGTATAAGCAGTAAATTAAGACCCTAAACCAAAGCCTTTCCTGGGGTTGGTACCTGAAAGAAAATCACTTTATGGACTAGGGTGACACTAGAAATGCAATCCAGCAAAGAGAGTTCTTTGGAAACATTTAGCATATGTGACCTCAACAGAAAAGGGGATGTCCAGACTCACAGTGGTACTATTTTCTAATAAACAAGATAATCAGAGAAATAATATTTTTGGTAATTACCTGTAGATCTGTCAGTTTAGCCTGCAGACAAGAACTACTCCTGTCCTCTTCACTAGAGAAATCAGAAGTAATCCTGAATTTGTTGTTTTGCAGGTGGTGTTCAAGAATATCTCTGTATGTATCATACCTGGGCAAAATGAAATGCAACATCACAATAGTTAATTTTTAAAATAACACAGGCCAAGCGCAGTGGCTCACACCTGTAATCCTAGCACTTTGGGAGGCCAAGGCGGGTGGATTGCCTGAGGTCAGGAGTTTGAGACCAGCCTGGCCAACATGGCGAAACCTCATCTCTACTAAAACTACAAAAAATTAGCTGGGCATGGTGGCGGGTGTCTATAATCTCAGCTACTCAGGAGGCTGAGGCAGGAGAATCACTTGATCCTGGGAGGCGGAGGCTGCAGCAAGCCAAGATGGCGCCACTGCACTCCAGCCTGGGCGACAGAACGACACTCTGTCCTAAAATATTAAAAATAAAATAACACAAAGATAAACAAAAAACAAACAAAAAAATAAGAAAAATAAAATAACACAAAGAAATATTTTAAAATTACTGTCAACTGCGTGTGAGAAAATACCATAGAATTTCTAAGTTACTGGATCATATGCAAAATGACGACTAAATGAAAATAAAACTTTTAAAAAGTCTAACATGTTTGCATCGATGAAAGACTTCTGGTGGATTTTCCAGTTGTTTTTAAAAAGAGTTTACCTCTCTAGTAAACTATTTATAGATGCACTGTAATCCTTTTCCATAATGCTTTCTTCTTGCAGAGGCCTTAACACTGATGCCAGGCTAAACTTCATAGTGGGTTCCATTGCCTAAGGGAATATGCAAAATAGTAAACGAAATATCTTAAACATACTTTTTATCTGGAAAAGATAAATGCTTATGTTCAAAAATGTATCATTGATTCTTTATACCTCAAACCAGGAGATAATACAATTTCTTTGAGATGTCTCAGCTCAGAGAAAAGTCTTTCCGTAGGACAGAGGAGAGTCTCACCTTCTAACTGGTATGGCAGCATGGTAAAGGAAGACTCCCAGCCCCAAAATGCTATTTCTGCCTGAGACTCCATACCCATAGTCAAAAGTAGACAGAAGCCTACCATGCAGGAGCAGACCTCTAAAAACAAATCCACCTCATCTCATTCCTTCCTCCACATGATCTGATTGACAGTCTGGACTGTAACACACAGTAAATACCAAATTATCTAGACTTCAGGAATTTAGAAAATTCAATTCCCACAGAAAATGAAATACATTATAATGCAGCAGAAGAAAAGGCAAATGATAAATGAACTTGTTCATCTCAATGAAATGGAAACATCTGTACAGATCAAGCTCAACCTCTTCTACCCTCAATAACAATATACACAGATAATCAGTATTCATAATGGTTCAAAAGGGTCTCTGCTTGAAAGAACTATTTGTATACTCAGAAGAAGATTAGGTTATGCTCACTGTAGCTTTGGTTAGTTGCATTCTCCTTTGAAAATCAGTCTTTTGCATTGTGTAAGTGGAAATTCTCCATTGATAAAAACAATCGAATAATTAAAACCAACACCTAATTAATGAGAAGTGAATTATTGTACACTTGGTCTTTTACTTTGGGTTTACTTCTAAAATACATTATCCACATTTAACACCTTTTCAGTTGATGGCTGATTATCTGATTTTGCAAATGGTGCCTCACTGTGGGGATCCCCTCCTCTATTCTCAGATGTGGTGATGGTCCCCCTAGAAAGGAATCAAAATTGCATGTTTAAAAGAGGGTAAGAAAAATGAAACCTAAACAAGCATGACTAACGCTTAATGTCATTTGATCGTGCAAAAGGCTTCGTTTTATCCTGAAGGGTAGCTATTCTTATGAAGTACTAACTCGTTTTTCGACGTGCCTCCCGCTGTGGGCTGCAGTGTCATATGAATCTCGGAAGCACATTTCAGAAGTCTTTCTATCTTTTGTTCATAATCTTTGAGTAGTCTCTTCACTTCTTGTTGACTCTTCTGTGAAGGCAGCTCTTCACACAGCTCCCTCAGGACTTCCATGTGGTGATTAAGCTGGTACAGGCAGCCTTCCTCAGAAAAGCAGGCCTAATTGAAGAAATAAAGCAGGAAATGTGCTTCTGGTGAGTTTACATGATTATTCCATAAGGACTAGAAACTAACAGATGTGTGTAGTTTTAACAATGTGTTCTTGTATAGGCCATCTACATGCTATGACAATAGGCGCTAGAGAAAAAAAGATGAGAGAGTCAGCTCTAAAGGAATTTCCGGTTCAGTAACCTAGACAGACAAAGAACCAGCACAGAGTGTGCTAAGTGTTATGATAGAGCCTACCCGCCTGAAGGAGTCAGAGAAAGCTTGCCTCACAAGAGGGAAGCATCTGAGCTATATGTGGAAGAAATAAGGACAAGTTCTCCAAGTAAAAGGGGAGAGAGGTTATTTCTAGCAGAAGGACCACCAAGAGGACGAAAAGCACGAAGATAATGAAAAGCACCAGGTGTCTCAAAGGACCAGAACTCCAGTGGGGCTGGAGTACACGGCACAGCAGGAGGGATGCTAAAGGGGTTTCCTGGACCAGGCAGTGAAGGAACTAAGTGGCCTTCTAAGATGCCTGGAATTGTCCTGGGGGTATGGGGAACTGGTGACATAGGATTTGTGGCTCAAAAGGACAACTCTGGTGCTGGTACGGAAGATGAGATGAAGCAACCATCATCATTCTGAGAAAAGAACCCTGGCTTAGGTAACTGGCAACACCACTGGGAAGGAAGAAGCTGTTCTGAAGAATCCCAGATGGGGCTTGGCAACAGATTTAATTAAGGCTGAGTGGAAAGGAAGGGAGGAAGGAGAGGAAGGGCGTCATGAGACAGCAATGCCATTCATTACCAGTAGGCAGAATATAAAATGAACCTTTGAGAGGAGATATTATTCGTTCAGTTTTGAGCTTGCTGAATTTGAGTTCTCCGAAAAACACTGGTGATATCTACTAGTCAGTGAGAAATAGAACATAGAATTCAGGTGAAAGGACTCAGCTGGAGAGAAAAATTGACGCACTATCATTGCAGAGAAGGCAGGTCAAACCCCAGAGTGCATAAAATCGCCTAAGGGAAGCACGGAATTAGCCAAAAGTGGAGGTGGAGACCCCTTCTTCAAAAGCAAAACATTAATAGAATAAAAAGGAATATTTGTGAAGACACTAAAAAGTACTCACTGCAAATTATATATCGCTATATATTTACATATCTACATCTATATCTGTTTATATATATCTAGATAGATAGATAGATAGATAGATAGATAGATAGATGGATAGATATAGAATTATATAAAGCAAGAGAGACTGACAGTGGGAGAGCCACAACAGTAGAAACTTAAAAAGAAATGAAAAAAGGGTCAGGAATGTCAAATACATAAAAGCAATCAAATAGGATAGAGACCAAAAAAAGATCATGAGATTTGCCCCAGCTGCTTTGTACCCTGATTTGCTCGTTTTCTCAAAAGCTGTGCTTCTGAGGACACTGTGTCCTGACAAAAGCCAACTGTGGGTACTTTAGTAACAGTTGACACATTTGTGACCAGAGTCTGAGGACAGGGGCCACTGAGACACATCAAGGGAAATCATAAAATATTAACTCAGTGCCGAATTTTCTCACTTCTAAAAAGTAAGAAGTACAGGCTCTGCTGCGAGTGTGAAGCAAAGAAGTGATCATCCCCGGGGAGAGGAGGGCTAGGGTAATTTTCAGAACAGTTTTCATCCTAGGCTAAAGATACACACAACCATTTAAGATAAACCCCAAAATGATGACAAAATTTAAGTGGAAACACTTTATTGTACCTCATGTTCTTTGATGAGACCCTTGGTCCTTCCTCTACGGATAAGTTTCTTTTCTTTATTTATTTGCTTTTCAAGTTTTAAAATATTGTCACTAAGCTTTCCTTTTTCAATATCTATTTTTAGTTGTTGAACATATAAAGACAGTTCATGATGAAGAGACTACAAAAAAAATCAAAGGAATATATTAACCATGAGAACAAAATATACAAAAAAGTATTTATAGTAACAATAAATATATGTGTAGTGACAAAAGGACAGAAACAAAGCTTAAGTGCCATTCTGATTCATCCATGTATTTTGGGGGGAGATGTTTTAAAACATCCCAGGCTCATAAACATGGTTTTTTTTTCTAACAAATAAAAATGTATTTTAGCTGTGAAAGGCACTGTTAAGAAAATGAAAAGACAAGCTACAGACTGAGGGAAACTATGCAAAACAGATAACTGAGCCCAAGGAGACATAAGTAAATGTAATGTATATCCTGGATAAGATTCTGGAACAGACAGAAAGAACATCTGAGGAAAACTGTGAAAAGGTAAATAAAGTGCAAACTTTAGTTAATACTAATGTATCACTCTGTCAGGGTAAACTGCTAGAAAAAATAATGTATTAACATTGACCCAGTAATCGTATCAACGATACTATACTAAGGTAAGATGCTGATAACAGAGGAATCTGGGCGTGGGGTACACTGGAACTCTCTGCACCATCTTTACAGTAATTCCGTAAATCTAAAACTATTCTAAAGTAATAAAGTTTATTTTAAAATGAGTTTTAGGAGGATCCTTAACAGTACATATTCAATCCACTTACATAGACATAGATATATAGACACACACATTTTAATTATCACATTAATTACACATTTCAATATTATCATTTAATATTAATTGCCATTAATTACCAGAACATAATCTCAGTGGTAGATGCTTTCTATAAATCCTTGCATCAATTCTGCCCAGTAGGTGGTGTTACCCCATTTTTATCAGGGAGGCTCCTAAAAGTTAAGTACCTTGCCCAGGGTCATAGCTGCTGAATCCAGGTTTGTCTGCCACCAAAGCCTAGACCTATTCCGCTATGAAACTCTGTATGAACCCTGGGACTTCAGCCTGCAGGGACCAGCCCACTGGTGATACAACGTAGACAGGAAAACCCCAGGAATGGCTCTGACAACCAACAGCCCAGGATCAGACATATAAAAACGTAAGTTCAGAAACATATGCATGTTCTTACCTCCCATTTGGCACAGACATCTCTACTCTTTTCTTCTAAAGACATCTTTATGTCCTCAGTTACATTATTTTTTAGTTCTTCAACAGCTTTCAAATACTTGGCCAGACTTTTTGTATTAGAAATTATTAGTGCTTCCTAAAAAAAAAAAAAATTGCAAACAAAATCATAAAAGCCTCATTCTACTGCCAAATCCTCAAAATCCTCTAAGCTAATTTTGGTATGTCTTTAACTGGTAAAGTGGGAAGGTGCTCTCTGAAGAATATCTGAAGATTTATAGGAGACTTCTCTTTGTAAATCGAGGTTGCTAGCCCTTTGAAATCTCTTAAATTCTTTTCAAAAGAGTGCCAAAATATTTATTATTCAAATGTAGTTACACATAAGGCCCAGATTAAGATACCTTTATGATATTCAAAATGATTTTTGTTACCCCATTGATAAGTAATTATAAAGTTCACTGTACAGGGTTAATGAGCCCCTGGCTAAGTTTCCTCTAAAGTTCTTAAGTATTGAGCAGACAACCATACTTCAGAAGCAATATAATATGAAGAGTATATCACAGTTTTGTTTCGTTTTGTTTTTTGTTTTGAGATAGGATCGCGATCTGTCACCTAGGCTGAAGTGCAGTGGCACAATCACAATTCACTGAAACCTCAAACTCCTGGGATCAAGCAAGCCTCCCACCTCAACCTCCCAAAATGCTGGGATTATAGGTGTGAGCCACATGCCTGGCCAAGACAAAATTTATAGAAAGGTTAACTATCGTGCATAAGCAGTTATGCTGAAAGGAGGCCAATTTGTTTCACCATCAACTTCAAAGTTTTGCCCAGGGCCACTCATGTTGGCAGTTCCTCCCCAGCAGTACACAAGAATGGGAACAGCCCTGACAGGTATGTGTCTGCTCCTAACCTGACATACTCTACAGGAACAGAAACCTGGCCTAGGTAACTAGCGAATGACAGAACAAAAAAACAGGTCGGGGCCTGTGTGTGAAAAAGGCAGAAAACCTACAGGAGAGAGAAGATGAATAACTCCGGGAGAAGCTAAGCAGGGTGGGAATTCGCTCATTCACTCATTACACATTTTTATGGACCGGCTGCAGGTAAGGCACAATGCTGAGCTCCAGGGCTCTCCTCCAAGGCCTCCTTGAGGACTGCTAGATTTATGACCTGGGGACACACTTTTACCCTGTATGCTATTCATAGCTGGGAGCTCCCACTGCCCATGTGTGCATGCCTACCAGGGCAGGGATCTTGCTTCTGTTGTGAGAGTGTATCCACTTGACTAAATGCCATTGGCAAAATGGGGGAAAACCAAAAGGAAGAAGGTCAGGGAGAGGAAAATGGTGTGAAAACTGACACCTCCAGCCCTTCTCTGGTAAAGGAGCCAAGAAGCTGGGCACAGTGGCTCACGTCCATAATCCCAGCACTTTGGGAGACCGACATGGGAGGATCACTTGAGGCCAGGAGTTTGAGACCAGCCTTGACCAACAGAGTGAGACCCTTTCTCTATAAAAAAAATTTTTTTAAATTAGCTGGGCGTAGTGGTGTTTGCCTGTAGTACCAGCTACTTGGAGGCTGAGGCAGGAGGATAGCTTGAGCCCAGGAGTTGGAGGCTGCAGTGAGCTGAGACAGCACCACTGAACTCCAGCCTGGGTGACAGAGTGAGACCCTGTCTCTAAGAAAAATAAAAATTCAAAGAGGGAGACTAGGACCCTCTATTTTTTTTTTCCTTCTCTTTTTCCTGACCAGACCATCTCTACCCACCTAGAATCCAGCCTCACCATCGTTTAAAACAAGCATTCATTCTTAAGGTCAATTTAGTACTTTCAGGAACCTAGGAGTAAAAGTGAAAATAAAAAACAGAGGGAAGTGGTTGAAGGTGGCAGCTAGCAAAATTCAAACGGCGTGAGATCAAGCAGACAAGGGCTACTAAGGTCATAGGAAAAGCAATGCTGAAATGACTGACAACAGGGCCCCAGCGTGGTTAGCAAATCCAGTAGGCCAAAACAGGGTTGAGGCCCAGAAGACAGACAGAGGCCGTGATGAGAATGAAGAGAGACTCCTATAGGGCGCCCTTTCATAAAGAGTAGGCGCAGGAATGGGGCAATGCCTTCCTGCATCTTTATTTCCCCTAAATGCCCAGCTCATTATAAGTGTTCAATAAAGTGTGCTAAATGCTGAATATGAATGAAAAAAAGTATTACTCTACCTCTCCAATTTGCTCCAAGGTAGAGGCATTTAGCTTTGCTTCTAATCCCCCAAGCACCTCCCACCATGTTAATTAATAGTGAGTCTCTGGTTTGGTGACATCTTAAGCTGCAACCTCAGCCTATCAAACCATAAAAATCAACCTGAAACTGTCTCCATACAAAACATTATTGGGTCTTTAACTATAGAAAAGTATGCTTCCATGAATAACTTTTATCAAAGTATTTTAATAATAATGGTTTTTTTTACATTCAGAGAATGTATGCAAAGTAACTTCACGTACCTTATTTTCACTTAAAGCCTCACAACAAATCCGACAGCTGGATAGGGCTGGAATTATTATGCCAATTTTACAAATTAAAAAGCCAGAGAAATTAAATTCTTGTTCAATGTCATAGAGTCGGCTGCACTCTTTACACCGTATCACTGAGTACATTCAGCAGATCCACAATAAAATTTGAATAAAAAAATTCTATACTTGAATACTTACGTTTAATAACCTCAGGGGAACAATATAGAATACTGGGAAATTCTTTTTAAGTTACAGTAACTCAGTATATAATTACAGTGAAGGAAACATCTTGATTTCAAACAAGATAGGCAGTTAACAATAATGTCCTACATTTGATGGTTGAAAAGATTCCCACCTTGTGTTTTGAAATGAGTTCACCGGGGCTCTCTCTTTGCCCCAGTAACTGCTGAGCCCTCATCATATATGATTCAAGTTCCTTCTGGGATTCTTCCATCTTCAGCCTGATGTCCAAATCTGGTGAAACGTCAGTTAAGTTCTTCAACGCTGCAATGAGTTTTACCACATTGATCTTGAAGACAAAAAAATTCTCAAATTAACACGGGGACCAATTCTTAATAAATTCTTAAGTTAACAAATACTTTGTTATTTTCCCACTAGACAAAGATATTTAGATATCTATCTAAATTATGATAAATCTATCTAAATTATAAATCTATCTAAATTTAGATATCTATCCAAATTGATACTTATATACTATGATACTTATGATACTTATATTTTCTGATACGCTTTAAATTATAAAGAAATAAAACATAATGCAAAAGTAATATTTTACAAAACATTTCCAAGCTACAGGGCTATCACCCCCCTTCACTGCCCACTCAGTGACCCCTCAGTTTTAGAGAACAGAATTACTAAATAGGGAATATTAAAGAGAGACCTGGACTTTCTCTTTAGCTTCTTGAATCTTTGCCTGAAGCCCAGTTGTGAGAACATGTTGAAAGGACTCCTGGCTTGAAATATTTTGTATATCCATTTGTAACATATCTTCACTTCTTGCCATAAGCTCATCAAACATAGAGCCTTTGGCAATAAGATGCTATTAAAACAAATTGAAGTGAGATCACAATAAACATTCTGATTATATGCTAAACATTAATCAAAACAATCTCAGGAAACCAAAAAAGTTCATTATTAATCCAAAATCAGGCAAATTTGCATTCTGAAAAATGATATTTTAAGGAGTCATTTTGAAATTTCATATTGATACAATCAGATTCTGAACATGTTTTATGGATCATTCTTTATACAGTAAGCACTTCAATAAAATAAAGAATGAAAGTAATACAATGACAATAGAAAGAAACTTGAGACAATGGTAATAAATATTAAAATGATCTTGTTCTATGTCAAAGTAGTGGAGAGGAGAATTCAATAAATGTTACTGGGGAAAATAGCTGTTGGAAAATAATCTTTATATATCATAACAAAAATAAATTTCAAATGGGTCAGAAATATGAAACCACAAAAAGAAGACATTATCCATAAAAACCAAGCTGCGGCCAGGCACAGTGGCTCACGCCTGTAATCCTAGCACTTTGGGAGGCTGAAGTGGGCTGATCACCTGAGGTCAGGAGTTCGAGACCACCCTGGCCAACATGGTGAAACCCCATCTCTACTAAAAATACAAAATTAGCTGGTCATGGTGGCACACGCCTGTAGTCCCAGTTACTCGGGAGACTGAGGCAGGAGAACTGCTTGAACCCAGGAGGCAGAGGTTGCAGTGAGCCAAGACTGTGCTCCTGAACTCCAGCCTGGGTGACAAGAGTGAAACTCCATCTCAAAAAATACAATAAAATAAATGAAATAAAATAAAACTGCCGGTGGCTCATGCCTGTAATACCAGCACTTTGGGAGGCTGAGGTGGGTAGATCAGTTGAGGTCAGGAGTTTGAGGTCAGCCTGGCCAACATGGTGAAACCCAGCCTCTACTAAAAATACAAAAATTAGCCAGGTGTGGTGGCGGGCGCCTATAGTCCCAGCTACTTGGCAGGCTGAGGTAGAAGAATCTCTTGAACCTGGGAGGTAGAGATTGTAGTGAGCCAAGACTGCACCACTGCACTCCAGCCTGGGCAACAGAACGAGACTCTGTCTCAAAAAAATAATAAAATAAAATAAAATCTGATCTGCTATCTCGCTGCAGAGGGTCTTTCGAAGCCTAAGAGTAGGGATAGACATGACTGCATAAATATAAAAAACCTGCAATGCAAAATAAAATAAACAAAGTCAACAACTCAGCAAAAATATTTGACACAGAAATGAAAATGGATCACAATTCAAAGAGCTTGTATAATTCAATTTTAAAAATGCCAAGATCCCAAAGAAAATTTTGAAAATCTAAGAACAGATAATTCATAGAAACAGATGTCTAATAAATATGATAGTTCAATATTACATGTAGTCAAATAAGTACCCATTAAAACAATAAGTGAGATACCACTTTTCACTTCTCAAGTTAGCAAAAAATAATTTTTTAATTACAACTCACAGTGGCATGGTGATATGGTTTGGCTGTGTCCCCACCCAAATCTCATCTTGAATTCCCACGAGTTGTGAGAGACACCCGGTGAGAGGTAATTGAATCATGAGGGCAGATCTTTCCTGTGCTGTTCTCAAAATAGTGAATAAGTTTCACGAGATCTGATGATTATATAAAGGGGAGTTTCCCTGCACAAGCCCTCTGCTCTTGTCTGCCACCACATAGACATGACTTTCACCCTCCACCATGATTGTGAGGCCTTCCCACACACGTGGAACTGTAAGTCCATTAAAACTCTTTCTTTTGTCAATTGCCCAGTCTCAGGTATATCTTTAACAGCAGGGTGAAAACAAACTAATATACATGGGTATGATAAAATAGAAGTTATAGTATGTGATATCAACTATGTAAATGTTGATCTTATTTGTCTTGGGGCAGTGGAATCACAGTGATTTCAATTTTTTTGAAATTAGCATGTTCATTTATCATTTCAGTTTTTCCCTCTTTTAAATTATAAAACCAACAAAAAAGCTCATGTAATTAAAAAAAACTGAAAAACAATAGAAAGGTACAGCATGTAGAGAAAATATTTATAGCTGGGCACGGTGGCTCACGCCTACAATCCCAGCACTTTGAGGGGCTGAGGCGGGCAAATCACTTGAGCCCAGGAGTTCAAGGCCTGCCTGGGCAATACAGCAAAACCCTATCTCTACTAAAAATATAAGAATTAGCTGGGCGTGATGGCGCATGCCTGTAATCCCAGCTACTTGGGAGGCTGAAGTGGAAGGATCACTTGAACCTGGGGAGGTCGAGTGAGCCATGGTTGTGCCACTGTACTCCAGCCTGGGTGACAGAGCAGAACCCTGTCTCAAAAAAAAGGAAAGAAAATATTTATTTTATGTCTACCATGTACTAGGAGCTGAGCATAACACAGGATTAAGATAGACTCAGTTACAGGTATATCTTTACAGATATTTTTCTATGAATATAAATGTATTACATATAAAAATACAACTCTGTTTAAAAACCACAAATGAGATTACATTATCTCATTATCCACACAGTTTAGGAACTTTCATTTCTTACTTTAGAATACATCTTGATCCAATATTTTGATCCAATGAATATCTACTTAATTCTTTCTTAATAGAAATATATTTCAGTGTGCTTGTATGTTCACTAAAATTTTTAAATTATTTAAAAAATTTTTAAATATTTAATTTCTACCTCATTTTTTTCAAGAAAATAAATTCCAGATAGAGTAAATAAATACTAAAAATAAAATCAGAAAAGCACTGGCAGATGAGATGGCATGATAGATTTATATAATATTTTCAAAGCAATAAAAACTATCACACAATGAAAACACAAAATGCTGAAATATACACCTTTCAGAAATGTAGGCTTAAAAAATTATATAAATGTTCCTTTTTATTCCAGGAACTTCCCATCTTGTTGTAACTTATGCTCTGTAGGTTTTACAGCTGAGCTGGAACTCAGTAAAAACCTCAATGATAACTCCCAGGAGAACTAAGTGATATTAAGACACACTCTTGCCTCACTGCCTTTCAATGAGTTGACTGCCTGAGAATAAAGACAGAATGGAGATCTAACAACATGAGTCACTCTCCCTGCATTGAGTAAGGAAAGGAGAGTGGCTTCATCAGAGGGTGAACTTTCAAAGCATAGATTGTATGATTTCTTTTTTTTTTTTTCCCAGAAGGAGTCTCACCCTGTCGCCAGGCTGGAGTGCGGTGGTGCAATCTCGGCTCACTGCAACCTCCGCCTCCTGGGTTCAAGCAATTTCTCCTGCCTCAGCCTCCCGAGGAGCTGGGACTACAGGCGTGCGCGCCACCACGTCCAGCTAATTTTTTGTATTTTCAGTAGAGACGGGATTTCACCATATTGGCCAGGATGGTCTCTATCTCTTGACCTTGTGATCCACCCACTTCAACCGCCCAAAGTGCTGGGATTGCAGGTGTGAGCCACCGCGCCCAGCCTGATTATATTATCTCTTACGTGTACTCTGCACTGAGCTATAATGAGACTGAACTCACTCGTCTCCTCATTGTCCTCTGGTGCAAGAAAATATTTTAACCCCCATGTTATAGCTAAGAAAATAAGTCCAAGAGCTTAACATTCATAGGTATTATCAGTGGTCTCCTAATCTATCCTCTGCTTTCAAGCAAAATAACAGCAAATGATCCAGGGATAAAATCCATTCATTTTTAAAACTCCCAACAAAGAAAATTAAAACTGTAGGCTTATTACTACTTACTTTAAAACTTCTTATTTAACTTAAAACATAAATGCACAACCATGAAAGTACCCTCTTAATACTTTTACACACATACCTTCAAAGATTCTTCCATTGAGGTGTCCACATCATCTTGATCCAAAACAGATTTGGCTTCTGCCTCCCAGATTTCCACTTGTCCAATGAGTTTTTCAACATCTTTAGCCACTTTTAGTTGCCCTGTGAATTCTTCATTTTCTTTTTCATGTTTCTCTCCAGCCTACAACATTCAAAAGTACCACTGAGAAAATGTCAGCATGTACATAACAAAATAATTTTCCTTTTCAAAAAGTTACACCTGTAATCCCAGCTCTTTAGGAGGCCAGGGCAGGAGGATTGCTTGAGGCTAGGAGTTTGTGACCAGTCTGGGCAACAAAGCGGGACCTCATCTCTACAAAAAATTTTAAAGTTAGCTGGGCATAATGGTGCATGCCTGTAGTTCTAGCTACTCAGGAGGCTGAGGCAAGCGAATTGCCTAAACCCAGGAGTTTGGGGCTACAGTGAGCTATGATCATGCCACTGCATTCCAGCCTGGGCAACAAAGCAAGACCCTGTCTTCAAAAATAAAAGATAAAAAAGTTACACCACTTTCTTTCCTGAAGAGTGCTAATTAAACATATTTTAATGACATAAGATGTAGTTCTTTGACAATAATAACTTTTTTCTTCTATATGAGGTCTCGCTTTATTGCCCAGGCTGGAGTACAGTGGCACAATCACAGCTCATTGCAGCCTCAACCTCCCAGGCTCAAGTGATCCTCCTACCTCAGCCTCCTGAGTGGCTGGAATTACAGGTGTATGCCACTACGTCTAGCTAAGTTTTTATATTTTGTAGAGATGGGGTCTCACTGTGTTGCCCAGGCTGATCTTGAACTCCTGGGCTTAAGTCCCATCTCAACCTCCCAAAGAGCTGGGATTACAGGTATGAGACACTATGCCTGGCCAATGATAACACTTCAAAATAGTATATATCACTTTGCAAATTTTTAAAAAGTTTGTTCACGGTTTCTTACTTAATTATAATATCATTCCTATCAGATAATATTTTATACATTTTACATGTAAGAAGATTAAAGTTTAGTAAATTAGGGTGACTATAAACACATTTCTAAAACTCATATGCGATTTAAACAAATATAGCTCTTAGTAATGGTAGTTGTAAAATATCAAGAAGAAACTCAAATCAAATTTCAACAAAATTAAATCTTTTTCCCATTAATAATCTATAGGTTGACATACTATAGCTTTACATGATAGATACATTATTTCTTAAACTATATATTGACAAATTATAATGGCTTATATTTATGGAGTACACAGATACACTCTTTTTTTTTTTTTTTTTTTGAGATGGAGCCTCGGTCTGTCACCCAGGCTGGAGTGCGGTGGTGCAATCTTGGCTCACGGCAACCTCCGCCTCCCGGGTTCAAGCAAGTCTCCTGCCTCAGCCTCCCAAGAAGCTGGGATTACAAGCACCCGCCACCACTCCCAGCTAATTTTTGTATTTTTAGTAAATACGGGGTTTCACCACGTTGGCCAGGCTGGTCTCAAACTCCTGACCTCAAATGATCTGCCTGCCTTGGCCTTCCAAAGTGCTGGCATGAGCCACCGCTCCCAGCCGAAAGATACATTCTGAAAGTTGTTTTTAATCAGATCACTGTTTTATTTATTTTATTTATTTTAAATAGAGATAGGGTTTCACTACGTTGCCCAGGTTGGTCTCGAACTTGAGCTCAAGCAATCCTCTTGCCTCAGCCTCCCAAAGTGCTAGAATTGAAGGCATAAGCCACCTTGCCTGGTCAGATTACATTTTAAATGTATCAGAAGACTCTAGTATTTTAAGCACACTGCAAAAATTCAGATCTTTCCAGATTTTCTAAGTAGGTATTCTTACAGTAGGAAAATGCTGGCACTCCATCATGCCAGTAGGTCTGAGCCAGTTTAAAAGTAGTTTAAGTAAAGCTGTGTAAGTTATCATGAAGGTGGAGCATTTCCAAAGCCATAGGTATTATATCTTACAAGTATATGATTTTTAATTTATTTTTTGTTCTTTTCCCATACTTGGTAGGATGACTCTAAAGTCATCCTCCAAATTACCCAACAAAACAAGGAAGAAATAGAATATTTTCCCCCATTTTACAGAAAGGAAGCAAGACACACAGAGGCCAGGGGCTAGCCTAAAGGTAGCCAATTTCTGTGCACTAGTCAGAAGTAATCTCAAGAAAATAACAACTCAATTTACACTGCTCAGAATCAGGACTGCTCTGTGTGTCTGTGAGAGCACAGTAAGTGTAATAAGTAAGACTTTCATGCTAAAGACTTCATAAGGGAAAACATTTAAGCATTTTCCTAGGAAATGACCATACTTTAAATGTTATCTAGCAATCCACACATTTACCACCAACTCAACAATATCTTTTCTTTCTTTTTTTGAGACGGGAGTCTTACTCTGTCACCCAGGCTGGAGTGCAGTGGCACGATCTCGCCTCACTTTCAACTTCCAGCTCCCAGGCTCAAGCAATCCTCCCACCTCAGCCTGCCAAGTAGCTAGAACCACAGGCGCACAAACACACGTCCAGCTAATCTTTCGTATTTTTGGTATAGACAGGGTTTTGCCACGTTACCCAGGCTGATTTCGAACTCCTGAGTTCAAGCCATCCACCTGTTTTGTCCTCCCAAAGTGCTGGGATTACAGGCATGAGCCACCGTGCCCGGCAATATCTTTTTTTTAATAGCAAAGTTAAATTATTTCTATTTGCAAGTGAAATATACAAAGTATGATTATTTTACCTTTATATTTTGATTATAATTTTCAGGAAGTTCTACTGACATATCTGTTGAAAACTCAACAGTTGCTTTCTCTTCTTTAGATAGAATATTTCCAGAATTGTCAAAAGTGGGCTGATCCTGTTTTTTTATCATCAGTGGCAGGTTCATTTCCTATACAAAATAATTTCATGAAATGTAATACTCATATTTTTATTTTATGCTAATATACATTACAAACAGTAAGTGGATGTAATATATTCAAATATATGTTTAGGATTAAACTACAACAGTGTTATAAAATATGAGCATTTCACATAAAACACCTACATCTCAAATTGTTAAGAATCAGTTGAAAAAATATTTTATAAAAAGTCTGCTTTTATGAGGCACTATGCTACATATAAAGATACATAAGGCTCAGTGTATGTTCTCAATGAGCTGAAAATCTAGTAGGCAAAACAATGCTTGTTTTTCCTTCATGGTAAGTGAATTTCAACTAGAAAGCTCTACAGTAAAAAGGGTTCAAGAATTAAAAGATCTCTCAGGCATATACTCAAGAAAGATTCAAGAACTGAAAGCTCTCTTGAGCATACACTCAAAGAAAACATGTGTCCATATGAATGTCCACAGCTGCATTGTTCATAAAAACCCAAAAAGTTAAAAGAACTCAAATGTGTATAAACTAGAGAACGGATAAACAAAATGTGGTATATCCATACAATGAATTATTATTTGCCAATAAAAAGGAATGAAGTACGATTACATTCTATAATACAGATGAACCTTAAAAATATTATGCCAAGTAACAAAAGCCAGTCACAAGACATCACATATTATATGATTTCATTATGTGAAATGTCCAGAATAGGCTAATCTATAGAAAGACAGTGGATTCATGGTTGTGTAGGGCTTAGGGGGTGGGGGTTGGAAGAAAATAGGGAGTGACTGCTAGGGTTTCCTTATGAAGTAATAAAAATGTTCTAAATTTTTTATGGTAATGGCTACGTAACTGTGCATATACCAGAAATCAATTGGTTATGAACTTACAATGAGTAAATTGTGTGGTACATGAATCATATCTAAATAAAGCTGCAACCAATCAAAAGAACTTACAAGTTGAGTTTTTGAAACCAACTTTCTCCATCTTTTATTCAGCCTTCTCAGTTCTTTAGAAATAGATGATCCAACCACATCATTGCTGACTTCGACTAAGAAATTTCCTGCTTCATTTAAAGTAGCGTGTTCTAGATTCCACTGGGCTAGTGTCTCAAAGGGTACCTACATGATACACAAGCAACACACTATCTTAATGACACGATATTGTCTTTCTATTATGTATAATCAATGTTCACCAAGGCTTTTTTCTTTTCTTTTTTTTTTTTTTTTTTGAGATGGAGTCTTGCTCTGTTGCCCAGGCTGGAGTGCAGTGGCGCAATCAAGGTCATTGCAACCTCCGCACCAAGACTAATTCTAAGCAACATTCTTTGCAGAGACTGACTTTCCCCTTAGAGGAGTCTGCCATCCCTGTTGGTCTAGCTCTTCCCTCTTAAGTGCTAACTGGCAAATGCCAGCTGTCTGTCATCACTCCTGGTCCTGAACTTTTATGATGCATCTTATCTCTTTCTACATGGCTGATGAACTTACAGCAGTGGTTTCCAAACTTGTTTAGTTCATGGAGCCTTAACTGTCTCATTAATTTTTTCGGAGAGTCCCTAGACCAGAAATATTATCTAACAGTTCCCATTTTTAGTAGTCAGGTTCAACAACTTAGTAGCAGCATGGTGTCCAACAGATGGATGTTGTTGTGTCTCCTTCAAATTTTAGAGTGTTCTGTAAGTTCTCTTAGTTCTCTCTGGTAGCTCAGGGTTTCTTAGCAGTTTTGGGTATTACAACCTTAGCGTGTTTTTCTCTGAGTTATGTACATTTTTATAGAAGATCTTTAAAGACAGAAAGACTGTTGGAAGACGAAGATTTGAATTTCTAGTGCTAATACAGGTAACAGAAGTGATGACTCAACCCGTAAAATGCTCTTTTTTGCACTCTTACCGTTATCACAAATTTTACATTAACACAAATAATCTATTTTCTATTAATTTTAGTTTCTATTTTGGAAATGTTTAATCTGAAAGGCTATCTATAGCCATCTGCAACAGAGAAAAACAAATGAAAGAAAGAAAAACCACCTCAGATAATCATAGAACAGATTATTACATAAATAACACATGAAAACAATAATGAATTACATTGACAGTTCTTCCACACCTCTACACATAAGTTACGGTATCTTGATTTTCCTCCTATAGAAACTCAGGAAGATTTTAGAGCTGAAAGGTTTCAACCAAATGGAAAAATAAAACTTTCTGAACAGTAGTTTATTTTAACTGTGTCTATAAGCTAGCCAGTACATTAAGTCTTATTTCCTCTCCAAAGAGCTTAGCAAAACATCTCCCAAAAGCTATTACTCTGTATGTAAATTATACCTTAAGAAAGCTCTATGTGTGGGAAGAGGGGGGCGTGTATGTGCGTGTTTGACCATGTATATATAAACCAGTGGAGAAAACTACCTCTTGGCAATTATATCAGGAAGAAACTAAATTCTTTCCAAGACCTTGAAGAATTTTCCAAAACACTGGTGTACTCTTCTCTGTTTTCTCATCTTTGGATTGAAAATGAGGGTCACAAAATAAAACAATTAAAAAATAAAATTGAGCAGATGCTATTAGACTGCAAATACCTCTTTAATTTCTTCCTTCTTTGTCTCCTCAAAGCAAGCCCTTAGTAAGCGAAGGTTTTCCACATAAGTAGCCCAACATGCCAGCACTTTTTGTAGAGTGGACTTCACATTATATATATTTTTTCTATACATACAAACATCAGATTTCACCATCATATACTGTTTATTAATATTCTGACATTCTCCAGCTACAATATTAACAAAACAAAAAAGTAATCTTAGAAAACAATTTTTTATTAATACTATTTAAAAATATTTGCATATTAATTGACAGCGGCAAAATAATATGTACTCTGACAATATTAAAAGTGAAAGCAAGAATTTTCCCAGGAAAACATGCACATAAAACTAATTTCTAAAACATTATATAGAAAGCACAACAGATAAAACATCACTGTTAAGTGACAGTCATTCCATCAGAAAGTAACTGAACCACTTTACCCAAATTCTTATAAATTTCTCCACATTTTTGAAAAGAAGTATCAAGTCGAGCTAGGAATTCTTTTTCTTCAATAAATTTCTGGGAAGAAAACAAAAAACATATTGACAGTTTTTACTTTTAAAATTGTGCCAAGAAATCCAGATAGTGAGATACAGCCATTCAACGAAGGACAGAGTTACCAAATTTCTTTAGGGCTTTAATACTACATATTTGGTAGGAAAACAGGAAGAAGGATGGTGAAAATCTAGGAGACATAAGCTGAGTGTGAACATTAAATAGGTCTGACATCTGATAAAATTGATCTTAATGTGGTGACATGGTGCTATAGTAGTTTTCCTCTTGTGGAAAAAAGGCAAGTTAGGTATTTAATTTCAGGATCTCCTACTTTGCACATTTCCTTAATATTACATAATTGTGTCAGCTGCTCTTATTTCACATGCTTTATTAATACTGAGTAATCTTTTTAGATATATTAGCGTACGTTACAAAAAGATATCCATCACACAAAAACATTTCAGAAACTACCATTAACCAAATTCTGTTATGGAAAAAATACTAAGCTAATTCAAAATTCCTATTTACTGTATACTTATGTGTGCCAATAGTATGAATATTTAAATAGAAAAATGAAAATTCAAGCAAGGAAAAAGAAATAGAAATACTCAAAATCTAGCCTAGTTTAGAATGATGCTTCCTGTTTGGAAACTTAGAGTGTTTAAGTCATAAACTGGAAGTAAATTTCTCTTTATCATTTTTTTAAATTTTTACAATAAAATTTACAATCTTGGATTTTTCCTTCCCCCCCTCATTTCTATTTTTCTTTTTTAAGACAAAGTCTTGCTCTGTCGCCCAGGCTGGAGTGCAGTGCAGTGCCACAATCTTGGCTAACTGCAACCTCCACCTCCCAGGGTTCAAGTGATGCTCCTGCCTCAGCCTCCCAAGTAGCTGGTATTACAGGTGCCTACAACCACGCCCAGCTAATTTTTGTATTTTTAGTAGAGACAGGGTTTCGCCATGTCTCGAACTCCTGACCTCAGGCAATCCACCTGCCTTGGCCTCCCAATGTGTTGGGATTACAGGTGTGCGCCACCGCGCCCAGCCCCACCCCACCTCATCTCTAAAAGGAGGGAAACAAAAAGAAGGACAAAGTCTAAATGTAGAATTGACATTTCTGTGATGCTGTAGTTTTAACTTAGATGTGAACACACTTACATGCAAGTCACTTCAAACATTTTTTCCTATAAATTAGAAGAGCTAAACCCAAAAGGAAAGCCTCATGACAAAAGAGAAAATGTATTGTTTATCCTAGTTAGTAAAATTTAGTAAGCTAAGATCAAAATGTTATAAGAAAAATGTAATTACTGCATGAAACTATGAATCTGAAAAGGAAACAAAAATTAACATTTCAAGTAAGTGAAAGCGGAATTTTTAATGAAAAAAAGCATGGAAACCTTTTATATTACATTAATAGACCTGGTTAACTCTTAATCTCCCCTTGGGTAGTAAGTAGTGATATTTTCTATATTTTTACTCTTTCCTGTGCTGCTGGTTGACTCCCTGTAATTCTTTTCTCCATGCAATATTTAAGCTAATGAAATCTACCAAGAAAACCCATCTCAAAACCCGAAGAGTTAATGGGAAATCATGCCAAGGAAAAATGCAAACACAGCACCCAGAGATGGAGGAGTTGCCTAAGACACAAAATTGAAAAGCTTACATGCCAGTCTTCCAGCAATAATTCCACAGATTCTCTGCTCCCATATTTAATGTTCCAAATATCCAATTTTGATTTCACTTCATCTACCAAACCAAGAACTAAGCACTTGTAGTAATGAAATTCTAGAAGTAGAATAAATTTTTTCTCCAAAATGTTGTTGATTCTGGAAAACAGTGCAGGTTTTGGAATTTAACTTAATATTATTGACCAAATGTGAGAAATCTGTTCAGCATTTTAAAAAATATTGAGGCTTTAACTTTTTCTTTTAAGCACATGGAACTCAGATGTATCATTGTCTTTTTCTTTTTTAAACATTGTAAAACGAATACTGTGACTAGGTATACAACAACCATTTCTAAGGTAAAAACATCAAAAACAGAACATTTTCTGAATAAACTATTCTCCGACTGACAAATCCTGTAATAAAATGCTGATCTATGAAATAGTTTACTAAATCTGAAAACTTCCACATAACTTAATAAAACTATAATCTAAGTTTATATATTAAAAGTTTTCATTATTAATGCTAACACCCTCTTATTATTCTAATAAGTTGTTTTTGAGTAATAAGAAAAGATAATGAATTAAATAATCTCAATATTTGTAGTATTTTACAGTTTGTAAAGTGCTTTCATATCCCTCCTCCCATTTGATCCAGTTTCCTGGTGAGACCTGGACAGGGCAATTATCATTAACCTAAATTTACAAAGGTGGAAACATGCTCAAAAAGAGAGTAACTTACCCAAAACCAAGATACAGAGCTCAGTTTCTGAATGTTTTCCATCACCATATTCTACCATTCAATAAAAAAGGAGGTATGTTGGCATACTACCTATAATGTTACTACTACATAAAACGTGAAGATACTGTTATCAAGATTTAAAGGAGAATACTTGGTAAAAATTATCTAAAAATCTGTATTTTGTGGTCCCTGTAGTATCAGTTGTTACTCAAACGTGAATAGTGACAGCAGCTGTGAAATGGTAGTGTTACACACCGTCTTTTCATTTCCTCCAATTTGTTAGGTGGTACCAATGGCAAGTGATTTTCATCCTTATTTTCAAAGGTAAGGAGAATGTTCGAATGATGCTCAAATCTATCCATCAGGCTCTGAAAAGAAATTCAGCATGACATAAACGATACTTATTGCCAAACACTGTAATTAAGGGTTTGTCAATCTCACTTGCATTACATCTTTTTTCAAAAAAAAATCATAAAACCCTCCCCACAACCCACCTTTTTTTTATTGTTTTAAGACACAGGGTCTCGCTCTGTTACCCAGGCTGGAGTGCAGTGGCATGATCATAGCTCACTGCAGCCTGGAATTCCTGGATTCAAGGGATCCTCTCACCTCAGCTTCCTGAGTAGCTGGGTCTACAGATGCAGAGCACAATACCCAGCTAATTTTGTTTTTTAAAAAAATTTCTGTAGAGGTGGGGTCTTGCTATATTGCCTAGGATGAAACTACCCCCTTTAACTAAGATTTTGTGAATAAATATTTTTGGCTGGGCGTGGTGGCTCACGCCTGTAATCCCAGCACTATGGGAGGCCGAGGTGGGCAGATCACAAGGTCAGGAGCTTGAGACCATCCTGGCTGACACGGTGAAACCCCATCTCTACTAAAAATACAAAAAATTAGCCGGGTGTGGTAGTGGGCACCTGTAGTCCCAGCTACTCGGGAGGCTGAGGCAGGAGAATGGTGTGAACCCAGGAGGCGGTGCTTGCAGTGAGCCAAGATCGCGCCACTGCACTCCAGCCTGGACGACAGAGCAAGACTCTGTCTCAAAAAAAAAATTTTCATCATAAATGTTTTAAATCTGAACATTTTACAGAGAGGCAGACCGTAGTTTCTTTAGTAAAACCATTATTACAATCTTTTATTTATTGGTGTATTTTCCATTCCTTTGTAGGCTCAAATACCATAAATCTCACATAATTTTTTTCATGCCATTTTAGTGAGAACCCAGACCCTCAAATTTTAAATCAGGCTCCCCCTTCTCCACCCTCCCACCCCTTGACCTTTTTTTTTTGGTAAGACTTTATTTATAGTTGCTTTAGAACTCTATCCTTATTTAGATTCTATCCTAATTGTTTCAATCTTAAACTAACACAATGGTCATGAAGGTAAAGTTACATTCTAGGTCCCAAAAATCCCCAGAGGAATCATTCTAAACCATCCTCAAATATCCACTATTATCCTTCTCTTCTTTTTAGGACAAAGTCTTCCTCAAGAACAATCCCTAACAAAATATGTATTTTCCTACATCTCTTTTTTTTCTTTTCCAACCTTGAATAAAGTCATTTTCTCTTGTATCAGAGTCACGGCTTGAGAGTGATCCTGGGAGGCTGACAAATCTTCATCCATAAGCTCTTCTACCTCCTGGAGCCAAGCTTCAGTTTGATGGAGGGGTGGGGGCAAGGCATAATTTAGCTTTATTTTCCATGCATTAATCTGAAAAAAAAAAAAAAAAAAAGAACATATTCTTCAGTAGAACTTTTCTAGTTTATTTCTTCACATACAGTATGTTTGATTCTTTGAAGTTTCTCTGGAAGCCAAGTCTGATAAATGTGATCAATTATCATGGAAATCTTCATCAATGGGTAAATTTCTTAGTTTTAAATATCACTTAGCTACTTGCTCACCAGGAATATAATTTGTTCAAAAGCTGTAGGAAAAGAAGGCATAAGAAAAAACAAACGTTTTGATAAATCCACAATAAGATATGGAGGAAATTCAAAAGATTAAAAGCACACCTCTAAGCAAGGATAGACTAACCTACTGAATGACCATCATTTGAAATGCCGTATGTCCTTGTGTGCTCTGACACTACATCTTTCATACAGATTTATAACTTCTTCCCTCTCTAGCCCTAACTGTATATCCACATGACATATCTCTACCATATCTCCCGAATATCTGTCCTTCACGAAAGCACCACCCATCCCCAAATCCAAGTACATCTCCTCCTTCTTCAGCCTCCCACCACTCCCTGCATGCACAAGCATGTGAGAAACACACTCTGACTGCTTGCTTCTCCAAATACTCGCTGTACTCTTGTGTCTTCATTCTCACTGCCCCTGCTACCTGGATGTCCCCCCGGCAAGCGCTGACAAAACTCACTCACACGTTCATTCATTTACTCATTGGCCAAACATTTATGAACAACCTATTGTGCTAAGAGCTGGAGATAAAGATACAGAAAGCTTCTGGTGTGGAGAAGGACCATGTGATGGTTACCCATCATTTAATGCTATGCAGCAGTTAGGCGAAAATTAGATGCTCAAATGCCAACATGGAAGCACCTTAAAATACACTGTGTTCAAAAATAAAAAGAAACAACATATAATCTGAAGGGTACACAACTTAAAAATACATGTACAGGTTGGGTGCAGTAGCTCACAACTATAAACCCAGCACCTCAAGAAGCCAAGGCAGGCGGATCAGTTGAGCACAGGAGTTCAAGACCAGCTTGGGCAACATGGGAAAAACCCCATCTCTACTAAAAATACAAAAATTAGCCAGGAGTGGTGGTGCACACCTATAGTCTCAGCTACTCAAGAGACTGAGGTGGGAGGATCACTTGAGCCCAGGAGGTCAAGGCTACAGTGAGCCATGATCATGCCACTGCACTCCAGCCTGGATGACAGAGTAAGACCCTGTCTCAAAAACAAAACAAAATAATACACATAAATTCAATCTATATTATGCAAAAACATAAAACGAAAAGAAACACATTAAAGATATCAAAATTGTGGCTCAAGGAGAAAGGAGAATGGAAAGAAGGTGAGTATAAAAGGAAATCAACACACAATTAAGCAAATGAATAAAAACAAGAGCAGGGCCCTGCCCAGCTCCATGTGTCGTGTATGAATGGAAGAGCAATTTAATACAACCCCCTATGTCAGAGTGTAAACCAGATAAATAAAAGCCACAGCTCTTGCCTGAACCACCTATCCAGAGAAGCAGCCAAGAACATGGTTACAGGAAAGTGTGTTAAGTGACGTCACAGAGCCAGGCAGGCGGAGGTTGCAGTGAGCCAAGATCGCACCACTGTACTCCAGCCTGGGCGACAGAGTGAGACCCTGTCTCAAGATACATATATATATATATATATATATATACACACACACACACACACACACACACACACACACACACACATGTACACACACACACACGTCTATATACATATGTATATACATATATACACATATATACACATATATATACACACATATATATATACACACACACGTATATACATATATATATGTATATGTATATATATGTATGCTGGCATGGTGGATCATGTCTGTAGTCCCAGCTACCTAGGAGGCTGAAATAGGAGAATCGCTGGAACCCAGGAGGTGGAGGCTGCAGTGAGCCAAGATCACACCAGTGCACTCCAGCCTGGGCAACAGAGCGAGACTCCATCTCAAAAAAAAGAATGTGACTTTTTACACAAACTTACTGCTGTACAGTTTGAATGTTTATCTCCTCTGAATCTCATGTTTAAGTTTGATACCCAGTATCGGGGCTGGGCCTAACAGGAGCTGAGTTCCCATGAGTGCTGGTTGCTGAAAAGAGTCTGGCACCTCCTTTCTCTCTCTGTCTCTCTCGCTCTCGCTTCCTCTCTTGCCATGTGATTTCTATACAAAAGCTCCCCTTTGCCTTCCACTATGAATGGAAGTAGCCTAAGGCCCTCACCAGAAGCAGATGCTGGTGCCACGCTTCTTGTACAGAAGCAGAAACGTGAGCCAAATAAGCCTCTTTTCATTTATTTGATACTCATATGAAGATCAATCACAAATTAAAATTTGTTTCACTCAACTTTCTCTAATGAAAAGTCCTGGTCTTAAGTCTGTATTTTATCTTTCTGTTACCCAGTCTAATTCTACTAAATGCACTGTTTTTATTGTTTGAGGTTTTTAAAATTATTATTTTATTGTAGAGACAAGGTCTCACTATGTTGCCCAGGCTGGTCTTGAACTCCTGGCCTCAAGCAATCCTCCTGCCTTGGCCTCCCAAACTGCTGGGATTGCAGGCATGAGCCCAGTTGAGTTCTATTGTTTTTTAAACAGGCAAAAATTTGTATATTAGAGAGATTACTTCAACATTAATTCATTCAAAAACATTTATGGGGTACCCATCATATGCAAAAGCAAATATCTAAAAGATATTTAACCAAGTACCCAGGTATACAAAATGAGGACAAAGCTGGGTTCCTTTAAGGCAGTCAAATGGAACTGTGCATAAAATGAAAGCATTAGATGTTACAGTTTTTCCATTTTGTTTTGCTTGTTTTTATCTTGCAAGTTTAATTTTCTCAAAAGGCATATGGCAAAGATAATTCTACAACCTTTTTTTTTTTTTTTTTTTTTTGAGATGGACTCTCGGTGTGTTACCCAGGCTGGAGTGTAGTGCTGCAATCTTGGCTCACTGCAACCTCCACCTCCCAGGTTCAAGCAATTCTCCTGCCTCAGCCTCTCCAGTTGCTGGGATTACAGGCACACACCACCACACCTGGCTAATTTTTGTGTTTTTAGTAGAGACGAGGTTTCACCATGTTGACCAGGCTGGTCTCGAACTCCTGACCTCAGGTGATCCGCCCGCCTCGGCCTCCCAAAGTGCTGGGATTACAGGCGTGAGCCACTGCACCTGGCCAATTCTACAATCGTAAATCATTAACTATTTGCCATTATGTCTCCAGATAAAAGAAAAATGAAAAAAGTTATTTCTTTATCGTAAATTTTTTTTCTTTTTGTTTTGAGACGGAGTCTCACTCTGTCTCCCAGGCTAGATACATATCTCGGCTCACTGAAACCTCCGCCTACCAGGTGCAAGCGATTCTCCTGACAGCCTCCTGAGTAGCTGGGATTACAGGTGTGTGCCACCATGCTTGGCTAATTTTTGTATTTTTAGTAGAGACAGGGATGTGCCATGTTGGCCAGGGCTAGTCTTGAACTCCTGACGTCAACTGATCTGCCTGCCTCAGCCTCCCAAAGTGCTGGGATTACAGTCACGAGCCACTGCGCCCAGCCATTTTTGTGACTTTTCAAATAAACAAGTTAGCATGTACTTTTAGTGTGTCTAATTACTTGTACATTTGCCAAAAGATAAAACAGAAATTTGATAAATAATTGAGTTAAAGAGAGGCTAAGAGCAATACCTCTAGTTCAACTATTATTCTTTGCACAACCAAAAGACAGCTGCATATATTTTGAATTAAACCAAACCTGTTTTTTCCGACTGAGGGCTACACTCAATATTTATACAGCAGGCAGAAGACGAAGAACAGAAGGCAATGTTTACCTTTCGTTCCTCTTCTTTCTCACTTAACACTTCCCTTCTGCAGTAATTACTTTTTGATTTGGCTGAAAATTTATGTAAGATCTTAACAGGTCAAAATAACATAATGTTGCTATTTTCTACAGTAGGCTCAGTATGAAACCATTTACTATGATACTCTGAGAAATCTCTGTTCTCAAACTATTGAACCAGAAACTGCATACATGGTTTCAACTTTTATGTCCTCAATGACTTTAAAATTAGCAATGTCTCATTTTGCCACACCAAGAAACTGAGCTGCAGTTTACCTGACTGAGGAATGGATTTTCAAGCTATTACCAAATTTACAGTACTTAATCTTGTAAAATAGTTCTTTTTATGGTTTTTCTCATTATTTGGGCAATTTTTCCATATTTCACAAAATCAGGCCAGGTCTCTGTGGCCTGGAACAGCCTGAGCTATATAGACAATATCTTCTTCATTGCCTTCCACTTTGTGAGGACCTGTCACGGACAGGTCTTATCCTTCACAAGAGTCCGTTTCAAAGCGGTGATCAGAATAGAAACTGACAATGCAATAAGCACCACACTGATGGGAAGATTCTAGGAGCTCCAAGTTCTTCAAAATTAGGTTGTCTAAAAGAGTGGCTCTTTTAAGCCACTGGACTGCTATTTAATACACTTAGTAAATGGTGTGGAAAATGTATTCTGAAAACAGGCTGCCACTCCTGACAGCCAAGCAAAGGGTCAGCAAACTTTTCCTGTGAAGAGCCAGATTAAGTATCTTTGACTTGTGGACCACACAGTTCCTGTCATAACTCTATAAATGTATTAAAAATCATTTCATTATCCATTTAAAAATGAGATGTTACATAAATTATTCCTCAATAAAGTCATTTTTTTAATGAAGGCAAAATAAAGACATATGTAGAGATCAAAGAAAACTAGGTGAATTTGTCACTCACAGCCCTGTATTGTAAAGTAAGTGAAAGGAAGTTTTCAGGCTGAAGGGAACTGAGCTCAATAGAAACTCAGATCTCTAGAAAGAAATTAAGAACATGGGAAATACCTAGATAAATATAAAAGATTAATTTTTTCATTTAATTTCCTTAAAATATATGGTTGTTTAGAGCAAAAAAAAAAAAAATGATAACATGGTCCTGAGGATTTTAAGACATACATTACATGTGTCATGTATATTTATATATAAAACCACTATAGCATAAATAATGGGAGATGGATCAATTTGCTTGCAGGATTTCTACATGTTACAAAAAGTTGTACAATAACTTAGATATTGTACAACTCTAAGGGTGGGTGTGGTGGCTCACATCTGTAATCCCAGCACTTCAGTAGGCCAAGGCGAGTGGATACCTTGAGCCCAGGAGTTCAAGACCAGCCTGGGCAACATAGTGAAACCCCTTCTCTGCAAAAAAATACAAAAGAAATTAAGTGTGCATGGTGATGCATGCCTGTTGTCCCAGCTACTCAGAAAGCTGAGGTGGGAGGATTGACTGAGCTCGGGAAGCAGAGGTTGCAGTTAGCCGTGATCAAGCCACTGCACTCCAGCCTGGACGACAAAGACCCTGTCTCAAAAAAAAAAAAACCAAAAAACCTCTAAGTAGACTGTAAAAATTTTATAATGTATATTATAATCCCTAGAGCAACCACTAAAAACATGATAGGAAGAAGTAGAGCCAAGTCAATAAACAAATTAAAATGGAATTCTTAAAAAACGTATGATCCAAAACCAGGCAAAAAAGGGAGAAACGGGGGCCAGGCACAGTGGCTCATGTCTGTAATACCAGCACTTTGGGAGGTCAAGGCAGGCAGATCACTTGAGGTCAGGAGTTCGAGACCAGCCTGGCCAACATGGTGAAACTCTGTCTCTAATAAAAATACAAAAATTAGCCAGGCATGGTGGCGGATGCCTATAATCCCAGCTACTCGGTAGGCTGAGGCAGGAGAATCGCTCGAACCCGGAGGCAGAGGTTGTAATGAGCCATGATCATACCATTGCACTCCAGCCCAGGAGACAGAGAGAGACTATATCTCAAAAAAAAAAAAAAAAAAAAGAAAAAAGAAAAGAAAAAAGACAGAAAGGAAGAAACAGAGATAGAAAAAGCAGAGAGAATAAACAAAACAAAGAGTTAAATGATATACCTAAATTGAACTATTTCAACAATTATACTAAGTGGACTAAGCACTACAATTAAAAGAGAGGGGATAGGCTAGGCACAGTGGTTCATGCCTGTAATCCCAACACTTTGGGAGGCCCAAAATTCTAATTCAGGGGCATTGCTTGAAGCCAGGAGTTCATGACCAGTATGGGCAACATGGCAAAACTCCATCTCTACAAAAAATTTAAAACTTTGAAAGGTGTGATGGCACACACCAGTTGTCTCAGCTACTTGGGAGGCTGAGACAGGCGGATGGCTTGAGCCTAGGAGGCTGAGGCTGCAGTAAGCCATGATTGTGCTGGTGCACTCTAGTCTGGACAACAGAGTGAGATTCGATCTCAAAAAAAAAAGACAGGGATTGGCAGAGTAGGTAAGAAAGCAAGATACAACGGTGTCATTTATAGAGATACACTTTGAATATAAAGACTCCAAATAGATGAAAAGTACATGAAGGAAAAAGATGTACTATACAGTCAGCATAGAAGACTGGAATGACTATACTGGTATAAGATTAAGTATAATATTACTAGATGTCAAGAAAAACAGTATTATTAAAGATAAGCAGGAATATTTCATAATGGTAGAAGTCCTCAGGAAGACAAAGTAATCATAAGCATGTACACACAATGACAATGTTTTAAAATACACGAAGCAAAATTTGACAGCATTGAAGACAGATTCCCACAGATTTTAATACTCCTCTCTCAGCAAAATATAATAGAATTGGACAAAACATCAGTCAAGACACAGATAATGTGAACATTATATGTGAAAATTATCAACCACCTTATATTAATTAATATTTGTAATTTGGAAGCAACGTAATCGCCCATCAACAGATGAATGGATAAAGAAAACGTGGTACATATACACAATGGAGTACTATTCAGCCATAAAAAAAATAAGGGCCGGGCACAGTGGCTCATGCCTGTAATCCTAGCACTTTGGGAGGCCGAGGCGGGTGGATCACGAGGTCAGGAGATTGAGATCATCATGGCTAAAACAGTGAAACTCCGTCTCTATTAAAAATACAAAAAATTAGCTGGGCGTGGTGGGATGCACCTGTAGTCCCAGCTACTCGGGAGGCTGAGGCAAAGAATCACTTGAATCCAGGAGGTGGAGGGGTTGCAGTGAGCCGAGATTGCACCCCTGCACTCCAGCATGGCGACAGAACAAGACCCCATCTCAAAAAAAAAAAAAAAAAAAAAAAATTAGCCAGGCATGGTGGCATGCACCTGTAATCCCAGCTATTCAGGAGCTGAGGCAGAAGAATCTCTTGAACTCAGGAGTCAGAGTTTGCAATGAGCTGAGATCACACCATTGCACTCTAGCCTGGGCAACGGAGCAAGACTCCATCTCAAAAAAAAAAAAAAAAAAGAATGAGATTCTGTCATTTGCAACAATGTGGATGGAAGTGGAAGTCACTATGTCAAGTGAAATAAGCTAGGCACAGAAAGACAAATATCACATGTTCTTACTTATTTGTGGAATCTAAAAATCAAAACAGTTTAACTCATGGAGACAGACAGTAGAAGGATGATTACCAGAGGCTGGGAAGGGCAGTAAGGGGAAATGGAGATGGTTAATGGGTACAAAAAAATAGAAAGAACAAATAAGACCTACTATTTGATAGCACAACACGGTGACTACAGTCAATAATAACTTAATTGTACATTTTAAAATAACTTGAAGAGTGTAACTGGATTGTTTGTACATCAAAGGATAAATGCTGGAGGAAATGGATATCCCATTCTCCAAGATGTGTTTATTTCACATTGCATGCCTGTACCAAAATATCTCAGGTACCCCATAAATATATACACCTACTATGTACCCATAAAAATTAAAAATTGAATTTTTTTAAAAGTTAACATTTATAGAATATTATACCCAATGACTGCAGAATATGTGTTCTTTTCAAGTGCACAAAGTTATGTACCATATGCTGGGCCATAAACCATGTCTCAATAAATTGAAAAGGACTGAAATTATACAGATATATTCAGACACACATGCACAAATTCATCCTTACTCTCTGTGGGTTTGTTCCTACTTCTTTCAAGCATCTACTGATATTGATACATGATAGTAGAGAAGCCGCCACAGGTCAATCAAAATATAGATAATCTACTGTGGCAAACCAAGAACTGATAGCAAATATATCAAGCTTGGATAAGCTTGCGTTTTCTCTAAGCAGAATGCAAAAAATCCCTACTTAAAAGAGGACCACTACCCAAATGATGCCATGGAGAAAATATAAAAACACAATCCCATTTTCTGATGAAGCATCTACACTGTCTTTTACATAATTTCTCATGGAAGTTTAAAATAAAGCCCTCATCCAAAAAAACAAAGCTGCCCTTTGAAAATGTTCTTTTTTTTTTGAGACGGAGTCTCATTCTGTCACCCAGGCTGGAGAGCAGTGGTACGATCCCGGCTCACTGCAACCTCTGCCTCCCAGGTTCAAGTGATTCTCCTGCCTCAGCCTCTGGAGTAGCTGGGATTACAGGTGCTCACCAACACACCCTGCTAATTTCTGTATTTTTAGTAGAGACAGGGTTTCGCCATGTTGGCCAGGCTGCTATCAAACTCCTGACCTCAAGTGATCCACCCGCCTTGGTCTCCCAAAGTGCTGGGATTACAGGTGTGAGCCACTGCTTTTGGCCTGAAAATATTCTTCTAATCAACACAAACAGTCACCTGGTGATCGAGGCCATCCCAGGCTTCTCTCAACTGTAAATGATCCTTGTCCAGCTCATCCAGATCCCGTTTTATTGACAGGACATCCAAAAAGGACTTTTTTTCTTCATTGAATGACTCCATAAAGGACAGCAGGCTCTGCAATTAGAAGAGTATTTTAAAGATTGAAAATGTTTAATTCCATTTATATCATATAATCTGTTATTTTGAGGTCTATAGGTATAGGATATATTTAAGTTTTTACTTAAAGGTAAAATCCCCTGAATCCAGTATCCTCTCTCTGCTCTGGTTTCCTTCTTCAGTGCACTGTGATAACTGGGCACCAGCATAATGTCATAGGTCTCACTCTGTGCTTTGTGTATTGTTGGATTTATACTGGAATGGAGCAGCAAGGTCACTGGGCTACAGGACAGATCATGATGCTACATGGAAAATATGAGTTTGTTTGTTCTCCGCAAGTATGCACTCACAACAGAATAAGAATGAATGAATGTGAAAATTATATGACGGCAGTAGTCATATATAAGCGATTTTCAAAGTGTTCATGAATAACTGAGCTTCAGCTTATTCTTCCCAATTCATTTTATATAAACTTTGAGAAACACTTTGCCTTCAAATATTTAGTAAGTAAAGCTTTTTCTTGGTTCACATTTGTGTGAAATATGGGTATTTAAGAGTTATCAGGCCAGGCGCGGTGGCTCATGCCTGTAATCCCAGCACTTTGGGAGGCAGAGGTGGGTGGATCACGAGGTCAAGAGATTGAGACCATCCTGGCCAACATGATGAAACCCCGTCTCTACTAAAAATACGGAAATTAGCTGGGCGTGGTGGCACCTGCCTGTGGTCCCAGCTACTCGGGAGGCTGAGGCAGGAGAATCGCTTGAACCAGGGAGGCAGAGGTTGCAGTGAGCCGAGATCACGCCACTGCACTCCAGCCTGGTGACAGAGACTCCGTCTCAAAAAAAACAAAAAAAAGAGTTATCAACTGGCCAGGCACTGAGGCTCATGACTGTAATCCTAGCAATTTGGGAGGCTGAGGCAGGTGCATCACTTGAGCCCAGGAGTTCAAAACTAGCCTGAGCAACATGGCAAAACCCCATATCGATCAAAAATACAAAAAATTAGCTAGGCATGGTGACACACACCTGTAGTCCCAGCTACTCAAGAGGCAGAAGTGGGAGAGTGGCTTGAGCCCAGGAGGCAGAGGTTGCAGTGAACTGTGATCGGGCCACTGCACTACAGCCTGGGAGAAAGAGAGAGATCCTGTCTCGGGGGGGGAAAAAAAAGAGTTACTGATTACACAGATTTTTTTTTTCTTTTTTTGGAGACAGGATCTGGCTCTATCGCCCAGGCTGAAGTTCAGTGGCATGATCTTGGCTCAATGCAACCTCTGCCTCCTGGGCTCAAGTGAACCTCCCACCTCAGTCTTCCGAGCAGCTGGCACTACAGGAGTGCACCACCACGTCCAGCTAATTTTTTTTTTTTTGTATTTTTTGTAGATACAAGGTTTCACCATGTTGTCCAGGCTGGTTTTGAGCTCCCGGGTTCAAATGATCCACGTGCCTCACCTCCCAAAGTGCTGAGATTACAGACATGAGCCACCACAACTGGCCATAGATAACTACTCAGCTCTGGGGTTGTAGTGTGAAAGTAGCTACTGACAGGTATGGCTCTGTTCCAATAACGTTTTATTCACAAAATGGGCCAACCTCTGCTTTAGAACCATGCTGCTCAAACTACTCCAAGGATCAGCATTAATGTTTTAAATGTCACTTAAAACATTATCCAGAATTATTGACAGCATTTTAAATGAAATGTTATGAGAAAGTCAAAGGATAATTAATTTACTTTAATTCTGATAATTAATGACTTCATAAAGCCTTCTTCCTATTTAGGAAACCCAAATCTGTGATACATTATTAAATCAAAGACATATGTGAGAACAATACACTTTCAGTAAATGATGAGCACTTTGTCGAGAAAAAAATCTTAGATCAGAGCTAAGGGAAGAAGGTCAAGAAGCCTATGCAGTTCAGACCAAAGGAAGAAAAAGATGTTTGATCCCTTCCTTCCCTGATGCTTCCAAAGCAAAAAAGGAAAGTATGGCCAGCAAGTTGCACAACCCACTGAATGTTACAGTTGAAAAGGCTGGACTTATCCAACTCTTTGACTTAACAGACAGGGAGATGGAGACCTAGAGGTGCTAAGTGCTGTGTGGGGTACCTGACAGTATCTGCAGCTTGTTCAGGACAAAGCACTGGGGAGAAGCACAGTGCTGTATAGACAACAGGCTCTAAGAAACGGGACTGAGGAACCTTTGCTTTGTTTCCTATTAAGTCTCTTTCAAGACTGTACAGGGAATAACTACTTACCCCAGAGAAGCATCACAACGTAAAAACAGCTGGGCTTTAAAGCTACACTTCCATTCAAATCCCATGTCTACCCTTTCAGTAGCCATGTAACCTTAAATAAGCCACTTATTATCTTCATCTGTAAAACTGGGATAATACCAAGCTCAGCAAGATATTTTAACATGTGAAATGCAAACCAGCAAGGTATCTGCTACATAGAAAATGTTCAACATGGTCAGATGTGGTGGCTCACACCTGAAATCACAGCACTTTAGGAGGCTGAGGTGGGCGAATCACTTGAAGTCAGGGGTTCAAGACCAGCCTGGCCAACATAGTGAAAACCCATCTCCACTAAAAATATAAAAATTAGCCGGGCCTGGTGGCGGATGCCTGTAAACCCAGCTACTCGGGAGACTGAGGCATGAGAATTGCTTGAACCCAGGAGGCAGAGGTTGTAGTGAGCCAAGGTCACACCACTGTACTCTAGCCTGGGCCACAGAGCAAGATTCCGCCTCAAAAAAAAAAAAAAAAAAGAAATGTTCAATATGTGGTAATAATCACAGTTGTCATTATTTGCCAAAGGACTCTCGGTTGAGCCCTGTATTGTAATTCTAGGATCCCTATTCCTGATTTTTCTTTCATTCAATATTCATTCTAAAAAGCATGTTCTGGGGCCGGGCACTGTGGCTCACGCCTGTAATCCCAGCACTTTGGGAGGCCGAGGCAGGTGAATCACCTGAGGTCAGGAGTTCGAGACCAGCCTGACCAACATGGAGAAACCCTGTCTCTACTAAAAACACAAAATTAGCTGGGCATGGCGGTACATGCCTGTAATCTCAGCTACTCGGAAAGCTGAGGCAGGAGAATTGCTTGAACCTGGGAGGTGGCGGCTGCGGTGAGCCAAGATCGCACCATTGCACTCCAGACTAGGCAACGAGAGCAAAACTCCGTCTCGAAAAATAAAAATAAAAATAAAAATAAAAATAAAATAAAAAGCATGTTCTGCTTTAAACCAGGGATTGGAAAACTTTTACTGTAAGGGGCAAGACAGTAAATATCTCAGGCCATATGGTCTCTATCACGACTACTCAACTCTGGGGTTATAGTGTGAAAGTAGTGACTGGCAATACTTAAATGGGTGTGGCTCTGTTCCAACAACATTTTATTTACAAAATGGGCCAACCCCTGCTCTAAAACCATGCTGCTCAAAGTACTCCAAAAACCAGCTGAATCAACATCACCTGAGACCTTGTTAGAAACACAAAAACTTGGGCCCTGCCCCAGAACTACTGAACCAGAATGTGCATTTTAACAGGACTACCCAGTGAATCACATGCACCTTAAAGTTTCGGAAGTACAGTCCTAGAATTCAGCCTTAAAACTTTCAGTGAATTTAATACTTAAAATACTTAAGCCTGAAAGAGTTTTCTAAAAACATACTTACGCTCAACTCTTAAAAGGTAAATTACAAACAGCTGTTTAAAATCATACTTACATTATACTTTTTAAAGTAGGTATCATTCTCTGAATCCTTTAGCAACTTCTGTAGTTTTTCCTTTTGCAGAGTTAACCAGCCCATAGCATCTTTCACCTTTCCCTGTATTTTACACACACAAAATTAAACTATATTTTAAACGGGCTTGGTTTTTTTAACAAAAAAATTAGCAACTTGAAACATCAGTGAAATAATGCCATCATTACACACCAATGATTCATTATGCCAAAGAGTAATTTCACTTGTTCACATAACACCTTAAATTTTAAACCAGATTGAAACTAGCATCTGAACATGACAATGTGCTAAAGAAATGGGCAAGCAACACACCCCCTCCCCCATTTTGGCTTGGAGAACATTATTCTAAATCACTTCTTTATAGCAGGCATTTCAGAAGACTGCCTTCCAATAAATCGAAATATGGGGTAATTCAAGAGATGTTCACACCCTGCAAAAACACTGACATCAAAAATAACTCAAACACTTTCGAGAGCCTAAAAATAACACTACCAAAGGTTTTAGCTATGCTATCATTAAGATGTGAACAACAATTACTTTTTCCGTAGATTCTTGCTTAGGTGGTAAACTTGCTTGCTTACATTTGGAAGCCAATTTTACTACTATAGGACAAAGAAGTTATATCTTATTTCCACTCTTCCTTAACCTTCATTTACTTTGTTTTTTCCTATTAAGTAAAAGTTTTCTAATATTTTTGCACTCAATTTCATGGACAGTTGAATCTTTCATTTTATTTTTTTAATATGAAAATTAGTTAGAAAAGAATAGCTCCTCAGCAGGCCAGAAATAAGTGAACCGAATTATAAGCCTGCATCTCAGCTTGAGACTCTCTTCCAGAGTCAGCAACAATCTGGCTTATTGCCTCAAACTTAACAGCTGGAAAAACACAGGCCCAATTTGTCAAATAAAATGCATGTAAACATGTCTGAAAATGCATGCAAACATGTGGTTTAAAATACATTTTTAAGTAATATCGAACATTTTGCTAAATTCACAGCACTCATTTATCATCTTAGAAGCAGAATAAGAGTTTCTTTTCAGCTCAGCAATTTTTATGAAGTTTCTACCCACAATATTTTGTGTAATTCACTGAAAGTAAAGGAGAAAAACTGAATAATCAAATGGCAATCTAATAGTAATTCAAGGCTGGGCACAGTGGCTCGCCTATAATCCAGCACTTTGGGAGGCCAAGGCAGGCAGATCACTTGAGGCCAGGAGTTCGAGACCAGCCTGGCCAACATGGTGAAACCCTGCCTCTACTAAAAATACAAAAAATTAGCCAGGCAGGATGGTCCATGCCTATAATTCCAGCTATCAGGAGGCTGAGGCACGAGAATCATTTAAGCCTGTGAGGCAGAGAAAATAGTAATTCAAGAGTATATCAACAAATAGGGATTAAGAGTAGAACACAACACTTTCATTTATATGAATCACACAATTTCATTTACATGAAGCTAAAGAATAGGCAAACCGGAAATGTGCTCAAATTAGATGATGGTGAGGGTTGCCTGATCATGTAAATACACTAACAACCATTGAAATGAACATATTAAATAGATGAATTTTATGGTATATAAACTATATCTCAATAAAGGAAATAAATATTATAATACAAAAAAATTTGACAGGCCGGCCGCAGTGGCTCACTCCTGTAATCCCAGCACTTTGGGAGGCCGAGGTGGGTGGATCACTTGAAGTCAGGGGTTCGAGACCAGCCTGGCCAACATGGTGAAACCCAGTCTCTACCAAATATACAAAAATCAGCCGGGTATGGTGGCACATGCCTGTAATTCCAGCTACTTGGGAGGCTGAGGCACGAGAATCACTTGAACGGGGAGACAGAGGTTGCTGTAAGCCAAGATCGCGCCACTGCACTACAGCCTGGGCGACAGGGCAAGACTCCATCTCAAAAATAAATAAATAAATAAACAAAAATAAAAATAAAAATAAAAAATAGAATATTATAATAAAAATTTGATATCTTTAGATTTTTAAAAGCTTAACTTCATTTGTCTTATATAGTGCCCATCTAAAAGTTGTTTCAGATAATTCAGCAAAGTTTAATAAATTATCCCTTTGAACCTAAAAAAAAAAAAGAACATTCAACACTAATCTACAGTAAAAGAAATTAGAATGCTGGTTGCCTGGGATGGGGAGCAGAGACAGAAAAGGTGCCCAGTGGAATATTTTGGGTACTAGAAATGTTTTACATCATGATTGAAGTATGATTTACAGGGGTGTATGCTCATTAAACTGTACATTTAAGTTCTGTATGCAAATTATATCTTGATTTTAAAAATTAAACCATTAGCAGGATACAACTAAAATGAGCTTGATTTATGCATATGAAAACATACCTGAGCCTCCTCTCCAGTCCCAGGGGCATCTTTGGAATACTGCAGAAACTGTGCCACATAGGTCATGATGGACTTTTCATCAGGATCAACAACATCCACATCTGCAAGATACACCACACTATCAATTAGCTGTTACACATTTACTATAATGAATACTCAAGAATGGGCTATGCCATAGCCTCTGCCATTTGGTTCACAGGCTCTGGAAATGCACCAAAGTAGTCACCCAGCCATCCAATCTCTGTTTACTCAGCCTTGCTGCAAGACTGTGCAGTGGCTAAGAGTTTAGATCTATACTCAGAGAGATCTGGGTTAAATCCTGGCACTAGTATGTGCACAGTCTCCGTTTTCTAATAATAAAGTATCACTATGGGGTATGTCTGAAGGCATAAGTAGTCAGAGAGGATGAAGAGGAGAAAATAAAGCATTCCTCTTTCTAGACACATAGTGCAGAAATTCCTCCAGGAATGCAGGAACATACAGCAATTAGAATGCATTCCTGACATGTTGGTCTTGGCATGTGTGCAGTAAAGCATCTCCAAAAGCATATATTGTACGGAAGGCTTATCTAAGACATCCACAGAGTTTGTTCATTCATTCATGGAACAAGTAAATCTACTGAAAGCCTTCTACAGGCCAGGCTTTGTGTTGCATTAAGAGTCCATGGTGAAATAAGTTTGTAAAATGCTGAATTAAACAAAATTTTAAAGACTACAAAATCTTATTTATCTTATTTTTTATTTTTTTTAGACAGGGTCTCTCTATGTTGTCCAGTCTGGTCTCAAACTCCTGGCCTCAAACAGTCCTCCAATCTCAGCCTCACAAGTAGCTGGCACAAGACACTGTGCCAGGCATATAAATTCTGTAAAGTGCAGAACTTCTCCAGGCATCTAATAAGTGAAGGAGATCATAAAATCACAAAAGGGTGAATGCAATATGTCACAGACAAAATGAACACCTAATTTGGAGGTGTTTCTTGACCTAAACAAGCAATGAAGATTATTGGAAAAAAAAAAACACTTCACTGTTTATTTATTAATTAAGTTAAACTTAAAGCAACAAATATTTACAGAGAGCCAATAAATGTGGGTCACAGGCAGGGGCTACAAGGATACATAAGGTATGGTCCATGCCTTTGGAGATCTTACATTTCAACCCTCTATTCATTCAGCTAGTAGATGCTAGATGCCTTAAAACATTATCTGCCCCTCAAGGAGTTTAAGGTTAGGAGAAAAACAAATAAACAAATACAACACACCATGCGTGCTTTAGTGAACATATTTACTAGGTTCAATGAGTGCTCTAAGTCACCTGAAGTAGAAAATAAATCCAATTCATTTGCAAACAATGTAATTCAAGGCAGTAAGCATATAAAAGCCAGCAATAAAAAGCTGAGGGTAGGGTCTCAATATAGGAAGAATTTCTAAGAATTAAGTTATTCTGTCTTTAACTGAAAAAGATATAAGCACCAAGAGATACGTAAAATAATGATATTGGCTTATTTAGATATTGCTTTATAAAAACTTATTATATACGAAGCCACACGTGAAGATTAAATGTGTTAACAATATTACGTCAAAATAGTTCCCTTATTCAAATATGACTATGGTATTTGGTTTGCATAAATAATCATGATGCATTTCACATTTTTGAGCTATTATTTAAGCCATTTATAATGAATTATGGGCAATTATGCGGAGGAAATTTGTTTTTACTATAGTGTCTATTTCATTAGTTGCCTGGTTATTTGTACATACAAAAATGGAGAAAATATTTTATACTAATAATAAAGATTTGGAGAATCATAATATAAGAAAAGTATTTAAAACAGTCATCAGAAACAGGAAATGAGAACAAAAGCATGAGGAAAAATGAAGGAAAAAGAAAAGCCAAAAGACAAAGAAAGGGAGAAAAGAAGGTAAAAAAGGAAGGGGGTAAAAAAAGATAGGGGTAAAAAGTTAACAAGAATTAGTAACAACCAACATGAAGCCAGACCAATGTCCAAACTGTAGAAATACGGCTGTAGGCAGGCCACGTACGGTGGCTTAAGCCTGTAATCCTAGCACTTTGTGAGGTCAAGGCGGCGAATCACCTGAGGTCAGGAGTTCTAGACCATCCTGGCCAACACGGCGAAACCCCCTCTCTACTAAAAATACAAAAATTAGCCATGCGTGGTTGCACATGCCTGTAATCCCAGCTACTCAGGAGGCTGAGGCAGGAGAATTGCTTGAACCCAGGAAGCGAAGGTTGCAGTGAGCTGAGATTGAGCCGCTGCACTCCAGCCTGGGAGACAGAACAAGAGACTCCATCTCAAAAAAAAAAAAAAAAAAAAAAAAAAGAAGAAGAAAAGAAAAAAGAATATGGCTGTAAGCTCACATATAAGTTCTAAGTTCACATTGGCTGTGAGCTTACAAATATAACCTAATTCAACTCTTACCAAAACCTGAAGTCCAAAGAGGCTAAATACCAGTAGTAAAGAGCACAGCTACCACACCAGATCTTGGTTTCTAATACCATTCTCCAATAAAAAGAGCCAGGGCTCCTTGGAGAAATGACTGATCCTAAGACTGGGGCAGGAAATATACAAGATGAGCCTGCAGCGTCTTGTCAGGCCAGAAAGTAAGAAAATGCTCAAAAACAAACAAGCAAACTTCATACTGATGGGGATAAATCAAAGGAGCATAAGAGCCAACTGAAAGAGCTCCTAGTGGACAAAACTTTGAGCGTAAAGAGGACTTTTTAAAAAATTGACCATTAAAATAAACGAAGTAGTATTGCATTACAACTAAGAGTGTAAAATATCAATAAGTCCATACTGATAGAAATAAATGACTGAATAAATAAGTAAATGGGGGAGAACAGACAAATCTCTGTGCAGAAGAACTTCAAATACTTTACACAGATAATCTGCCATCAAGGAGAGTGAGCCTTAACTCTCCCAAGTGTGGGCTATGCAGTGATTTCCCTCCAAAGAGCACAGTATGGAGAGAAGGGGGAGAAAAGAGTAACTTTACCATGAGAACCCTGATCAGCACTAGCTCAGCCAGGTGATCAAGGTAAGCATTGACAGTAATAAATCATGTTGACAATATATACCCTTGAAAGGATGTGATGAGAATGACATTCTACTGCTGAGTTCTTCCTTGCAAGAACACAAAAACCCAGTATAATCACGAGAAAAAAACATAATGTAAATTCCAATAAAGGGGCATCCTACAAAATACCTAACCAGTAATCTCTAAAACTGTCAAGGTCATTTATTTAAAAGTCTGGGAAACCGTCACAGTCAAGAGGAGTCACAGGAGATATGACAGCTAAATATAATGTGGTATCCTGGCTGGGATATTGAAAGAGAAAAAAGTCATTAGGTAAACACTAAGAAAATATGAATAAAGTATTACCTTAATTTAAAATAACATATCCATATTGGTTCATTAATTATAACAAATGTACTATACTAATGTAAGATGTTAATAGGGGAAACTGGGTGCAGGGTTTATGGGAATTTACTGCACTATCTTCTCAATTTTTCCATAAATCTAAAATTGTTCTAAAACTGAAAAGGCTTTTTTTTTGTTTTTTTTGAGATGGAGTCTCACTCTGTTGCCAAGGCTACAGTGCAGTGGCACGATCTCCGCTCACTGCAACCTCCACCTCCCGGGTTCGAGCGATTCTCCTTCCTCAGCCTGGGCAGAACTTCAAATACTTTATATGTATAATCTGCCATCAAGAAGAGTGAGCATAACTCTCCCAAGTCTGAGCTATGCAGTGATTTCCCTCCAAAGAGCACAGTATGGAAAGAAGGGGGAAAAAAAGAGTAACTTCACCATGACAACCTTGATCAGCACTAGCTCGGCCAGGTGAGGCAGTAACTGGGATTACAGGCATGCACCACCACACCCGGCTAATTTTGTATTTTTAGTAGAGATAGGGTTTCACCATGTTGGCCAGGCTAGGTCTTGAACTCCTTCCCTCATGATCCGCCCGCCTCAGACTCCCAAAGTGCTGGGGCATGAGCTACAGTGCCCCGCTGAAGTTTATTTAAAAATACAAAAAGGGGCCAGGAGTGGTGGCTCACATCTGTAATCCCAGCATTTTGGGAGGCTGAGGTGGGCAAACACTTGAGGCCAGGAGTTCAAGACCAGCCTGGACAACATAGCAAAACCCCATCTCTACTAAAAATACAAAAATTAGCCAGGCACAGTGGCACACACCAGTAGACCCAGCTACTCAGGAGGCTGAGGCAGGAGAATCACTTGAACCAAGGAGATGGAAGCTGCGGTGAGCCAAGATCACGCCACTGCACTCCAGCTTGGGAGACTGAGCGAGACCCTGTCTCAAAAAAAAAAAAAAAAAAAAAATTAGCTGGGCATGGTGGCGCACACCTGTAGTCCCAGCTACTGGGGAGGCTGAGGCACAAGAATCGCTTTAACCCAGGAGGTGGAGGTTGCAGCGAGCCAAGATTGTTGGGCAACACAGCGAAGACTCTGACTCCAAAAAAAAAAAAAGGAATGAAGTATTGATACATGCCACAACATGGATGACCTTGCAGACATTTTGCTAAGTTAAAGAAGCCAGTCACAAAGACCATATATTGTATAATTCCATTTATGTGAAATGTAATTAGCAAGTACTGGGGCATGGGGGGGTTAGGGGTAAATGGAGAGTAACTGCTAATGGTCACAGGAGTTCCTTTGGGGATGACAAAAATGTTCTAAAATGAACTGTGGTGATGAGTGAACAATTTTGTGAATACAGTTCTCCTTGGTATACACGGGAATTGGTTCCAGGACTCATCTCTAGATTGCTTTTAATATCCAATACAACGTAAATGCTATGTAAATAGTTGTTATACAATTGTGTAACATGTATTGTTTAGGGAATAATGACAAGAAAAAAGTCTGTACATGCTCAGGACAAATGCTTTTTTTTTTCCAAATATTTTCAATCCAGTGTTGGCTGACTCCATGGATATGGAACCCAGACATGAAGGGCAGGCTGTATACTAGAAACCACTAATTTGTATACTTAAATGATACATCATATGGTATGTGAATTATCTCTTAATAAAGCTGCTTAAAACCAAAAAGATTAAGTGACAAATCCACAGTCACCTGGTCAGTGAGTGTGCTGGAACTAGCTGACTCACATCAGCTGAAGAGAGTTGACTGCTAAATGTTCAGAAGTTTTTGTAAGCTGGTTGTGAAAAAATCATCAATAAAAATTAAATCATATAAATGCACAAATTATATTAAAAGCATAGGTAATAAATACTCAAAACTTATCACTTCCCAATTACTGTATTACATTTTACTATTAACTATATGCTCCTGAGGCTATCTGTCTATTGTATCTGTATGATGGAAACAACATATAATGGTGTGGGTACTGCACATCTTTTTCTAATTCTGTGTTCAGTGACTGCACATTGGTAACTTGAAATCAGTCATAGCAGTAGCATTTATCACACAGAAGTCTGCAAATGAAGGCTTGACTGTTGTTCTGTTAACTGCTAAAAAAGAGATGAAGAAATTGTTAATAATGCAGGTAAATCTTAAAAATATGTTCTGTCTAAAGCTGTTAGTTGCATTGCGAATAGCACAAAAAGTTGAGAAAATATTCTTCTAGTATTCAATTCAGCAAAGAAGTCATTCATGTCATTGAAGAACATATGAAGTTCTGATATACCTCTTATTACACTTACTTATTAACATAAAGGAAATTCTAAACTAACATTCATGTCAGAACTATACTTCTTCAGCAAATACAACCCTAAGTTAGTTACAGATGGATACAGAGTTTGGCAAAAATGAACAGAAGCATTTTGGAGCTATATGAAATCTATAAGAAAGCGTATCATAAACGTTATAATTATTTATAAAATAATACATATTCCTTAATATCAGTAAAATCTATAATAGTGTAAATGTGTGTACATTTCCCATTGTTTGGGAGAGCCAGTCACTAAACATTTGTATACACACCCCAGTAATAGAGCTGAGACTAGAATTCATACGTGCTTGACCTATTCGTTCATCATAATTTTCACTAATCCCATATACCTCTATTATGACCTTAATGTTTTTTTAATAGCTTTGGTTACATTATGAAACATTACAATTCAAAGTAAAGTGCTTTTGAGAAAGAAGTAAAATTTTTAAATCTTAATTTTATAAAGTTAAATTATAATTTGATGATGATCTCTAAAACTACCCAGTACTTAGGATGTTGTTGTTAACAATCCAACATGACTGAGCAGAATCAATGACCAACCACATAGGGACAGACGGGAAGGCAGCAGTTTCTGTTCTCACAGAGGTTCAGCTTTAACTCAGAGGGAGGGAGGAAGGAGAGACATATAAACAACTTTAATTCAAGACTCAGAGAAACATCTTACAAAAGAGATTTAGAATAGAATAACAGAATCAAGAAGAAAAAAACACAGAACATAATAGAAGAAAATCAAGACAGGCTCAAATTATTCCCAATAACAGCACTGTTTGCTTTCAGCTGTGGCTTCCCCTATAATTACTGAAGTTAACAAATTGGTAGGAATTGTTTGATTGCATCAAATTCGATAAAGAGCTTAAGTTAAACCCTCCAGGACTAAAATAGAGTGCCACTATGTTTATTCATGTATAGATACTATTTTGAAATCAACTTCATGCTAAGCCTTAAAGATTGTTTTAAAAACAAAGAAGCTTCTTTACCTTCTGGTTCCAGCAATCTGGGGATTTTTAATTCTTGTTCTGCAATTCTGAAGGCCTCTCTCAGATTGTCTTTGTTGGATCTATGCTTCACACTCTTCATGTCAATTAGGTCTGGTCGCAAGGCATGAATGATGGCCAAAAAAGCCATCCCATTTCTCCAACTTGACTTAAAATCGGTCACATTGACAGACTCATAGCTATCATAAAAAGACAAAAACATGACAAATACCATTAAAAAGAACGTAACACCCCCCTCCACTATATTCAATAGTAATTAAAATTTGGCAAATCAAGTAAATTAGATACATCATGCTAGATAAAATTTTTTATCTTGTGACCAAATTAAAGGAAAATGCCAAGTTTGATGAAACTCAAAATACCACAGAACACTGATTCTCAAAATTTGTTTCCTGAGCCAGCAGCATCAGTATCACATGGGGTGCAGGTGTTAGAAATGTAAATTCTCAGGCCGAATCCCATACCTACTGAATCAAACTCTGGAGGTGGGCCTGAAATCTGTGCCTTTAAAAGCCCTCCAGGAGATAATGATATTCACTCAAGATTGATGCCCTTCATTACCAAATCTGTTGGCTTAAGTCTGCCTTTAAACTTCTACATACAGGGAAGGTCAAGGTTCCTAACTAGAGGAAATGATTTCCTTTTTCAGTGGGACAAATTAAATGATACATTGTGTGTAATTAATGGCCAGTAGCTCACTAGATAGATAGACCTTGTCACTCCTCTGCTTAAAACCCATCATGACAGATGAATGGATAAACAAAATGTGGTATATACATACAATGAATATTATTCATCCTTAAAAAGAAGGGAAATTCTGGCTGGGGACGTTGGCACATGCCTGCAATCCCAGCACTTTGGGAGGCTGAGGCGGGAGGATCACTTGACAATGGGAGATTGAAGCTGCAGTGAGCTACAATCGCACCACTGCACTCCAGCCTGGGTGACAGAATGAGACTGCCTCAAAAAAAAAGGAGGGAAATTCTGACACATGCTACAACATGAAGGAACCTTAAAAACCATGCCAAGTGAAATAAGCCAGTCACAAAAGGACAAATACCACATGACTCCACTCATATGAGGTATGTAGAGTAGTCAAATTCATAGAGAAGTAGAATGGTCATTGCCAGAGGCCAGGGTTTGGGGGATGATGGGGAGTTCTAGTTTAACAGGTACAGTTTCGCAAAAGGAAAAAAGTTCTGGTGACAGAGAGTGGTGATGGTTACACAACAATATGAATGTAGTTAGTGCCACTGAACTGTACACTTAAAAATGGTCAAAGTGGCAGATTTTAAGTTATGTATATTTTATCACAATAATATCTACATCTATCTATCTATCTATCTATCTATCTCTCTCTCTCTCTATCTATCTATTTATCAATCAACATCATTAGCTAGCCATTGTATTTAGAATAACATCTCTCACCCTGGTCCACAGACCCTAAGTGATTTGGCCCCTGCCTGCTTCTCTCATCTTTGTATCTCCCCTCTCTTACAGAGTTGCAGTCACACCAGCCTTGTTCCTGTTTCTCAAAGCCACCCTCCTAGTCACTGTCCTTGGACGCTCCTTCTCACAGATCTTCATAAAGCCTCCCACTTGAGGAGTCAGCTTAAAGTCTCTCCGCAGCAAAGCCCTGCCTTACCACCTGCACTAAAGGAGACACTCTCCCTGCCCTCAACCTTCTTGACCATAAAAAAAGTCCTTCCTAATCTGCTTGCCAACTGTAATTATCATATTTCTTCATGATAATTCCTGCTTTCCCCATCAGGATGCAAGCCTTTGAGAGCAAGGGCTTTGCCCTTCTTGTTCACCACTGTAGACTCATTCCCCAAACAATGCCTGGCATATCACCAGGGCTTAAGACACATATTTTTAAAAAAATCACTCCATCACTATTCTGTGCTTCATAAGGGATCAGGGAAAGTCTTGCAAAAGAGTACAGTTGTCTGCAACACTTGGGATATATTCTAGAACAACTATAGTGTCCTTTCATATCCCACAAAAAGCATGAAAAAATTCAAGAGACTATTTTAAGGTCTGAATCAAATGATAAAAGCTACTCAGGAAATAGTCTGCTCCAGATGACCTGGGTTTTCCTGTTTACTTACGGGAAAAAAAGCTTAAAACTATGACTGTAATAAACTACATAGCAGTCAGTGATTTTTGTGTTGTCTAACAAATATGTTTGTGGTATCTACTTCATCCAGAAACTGTTCTAAATGCTTTAAAAAAAATTCTTATGCATATAACAACCTATGACATATTACTGTTCACATTTTATGACTGAAGAAATTGGAACACAAAGAGATTAAGTGTTCAAAGTCACCAGTTAGAAAGTACAGGGCGCCAGCACTTCAAATCCGGGTACTCTGACTTTAGAGTGTGTAAGACTAAGGTAAACCATTAGGTGGGTGCAAAAGTAATTGTGGCTTTTACCATTAAAAGTAATGGCAAATTGTAATGCAATGGCAAAAGTAATGCAATTACTTTTAAGTAATTAAAAGTAATGGCAAAAGCTGCAATCACTTTTGCACCAACCTAATAATAACTAAAGGATGGCGGCTGCAGCTGAGGGCAGGGCCAGACCTCAGCACCTTGAGTGTTGAACCAGCACTGCACTGACTGGCAGGCACTGTACTTAATACTGTGTAGGTCAGCTCTGCACTGATGAGCCAAAGCCAATACCACAAAGACGGTGCTGCCAGACCTTAGAGGGTGGAATTAGGCTCCTGGTTGGCAGAACCTACACTCATTTAGATGTGGAGAACGGGGCCTGATTCATCTGTTTCACAAATGAGAAAATACAACATATTACTTACAAAACAGTCTTATTGAAATGAAACACAAATATTGAAACAATAAAACACAGGATATTGAAATAAAAGTTATCTAATAATACCACCAATGATGGCCAAAACTAGGATAAACCCATGATGAATTACTTAAGAAGATGTGCTACATTTTCATAAGCTTAGCATAAGCTCTACAGTTGAAAACTAAGAAAGATGGGGAGACGTGAAGAAAAGATAAACTGTTGTAAAATATATGGGGCTTTGAAAGGACTTTAAGGTTATTTATGCATAAATGAAATAAATCTGAGTATGACATAATAATGCTTTTCACAAATACTGTTTGGGATTTTTAAAATATAGAAAACTGGAGTACAAATTATCTCTAGGAGATTCAAGAAACAGTTCATTTAATGTACTTTAAACCTCTATATAAGGTTATGTATGTTTATGGCTCTCATAAAATATAGAGAACGAATGACAATTAAAGAAAAGTAAGGCTGGGCCGGGAGCAGCGGCTCACCCCTGTAATCACAGCACTTTGGGAGGCCGAGGTGGGCAGATCACCTGAGGTCAGGAGTTTGAGACCAGCCTGGGCCAACCTGATGAAACCTCATCTCTACTAAAAATACAAAATTAGCTGGGCATGGTGGTGCACAGCTGTAATGCCAGCTACAGGGGAGGCTGAGGCAGGAGAATTGCTTGAACCCAGGAGGTGCAGGTTGCAGTGAGTTGAGATCGTGCCACTGCACTCCAGCCTGGGCGACAAGAGCGAAACTCTCTCTCAAAAAAAAGAAAAGAAAAGTAAGGCTGAAAGCAGAACTTCAGCTCTATCTTGGCCTTTCAGCAGAAAGGACTTACTCTGAAGTCCTGCATTTGAAAGGGCTTAGCAACATATTTATGACCCTATTTACCTAACAATGCTATGATGTGACAAGAAATGCCTTTTGAACTCGACAGCTGTTCTAGTAGAGAGATCTCCTGAATCTACAGTCCTTATTTTTCCTAAGCTCCATCTCAGACACTGCTTAAAATGGAAAAGTAAATTGTCTACCAAGAGCAAAAAACATTTTTCTTTGTTTAAAAAAAAAAAAAGATATGAGCACTAACTTTCCTTCATTATCCCCAATTTTTAATTGGGCATTCTCCAGGCTGGTGTGGTAGCTCACACCTGTAATCCCAGCACTTTCGAAGACGGAGGCAGGTGAATTGCTTGAGCTCAGGAATTTGAGACCAGCCTGGGCAACACGGCAAAACCCCATCTCTACAAAAAATACAAAAATTAGCCAGACATGGTGGTGTGCACCTGTAGTCCCAGCTACTCAGGAGGCTAAGGTGGAAGGATCAATTGAGCCTGGGAGGTCAAGGCTGTAGTGAGCCACAATCGCACCACTGCACTCCAGCCTGGGTGACAAAGTGAGACCCTGTCTCAGAATGCATACTGTCTGGTCTCTGTGCTTCCTAATTGAGCTACGTTTCTAAACTCTGAGGTCTCTTAATATACTCATATACATATTCAAGAGATAAGTTTTGTTGTATGTGTGTGTGTGTGACAAGAGTTTCGCTCTTGTTGCCCAGGCTGGAGTGAAATAGCTTGATCTCAGCTCACCGCAACCTCCGCCTCCCAGGTTCAAGCGATTCTCCTGCCTCAGCCTCCCAAGTAGCTGGGATTACAGGCACATGCCACCACGCCAGGCTAATTTTTTGTATTTTTCATAGAGACGGGGTTTCACCATGTTAGCCAGGCTGGTCTCGAACTCCTGACCTCAAGTGATCTACCCGCCTCAGCCTCCCAAAGTGCTGGGATTATAGGAGTGAGCCATCTTGCCTGGCATTTAAATACCACTTTATTTCCATGTAATAATATGCCACCTAAACACAGCAGGTGGGATGAGTTCGTTTACCCAGGTGATACCACCTTCCAGACTTTGAAACCAAACGTGGCTGAGCTCTTGGGCTTCCACGTATGGAAGAAGCACAGAGAGGAAGGGGGATAGTGAGAATTTTCATGTTAAGTGAGGGAGGTGTTTGGGTGGTGAGGTGGTGTTGGTTGATACAGCTGCCCTGTGTGTCTCTTAGGGTCATAGCAAACTACTTACGTGGCGCATTGTTCCTGAGCCCACAAAAGAAGGGCCTTTCTTGCAGACATTTGCCATCTTGCTTGCACTTTAGAGCATTTCTTAGCTGGAGGACTTGAGGCAGGAGATGAGTCAACCACACTCACATCATCCAGGGAAGGCTGATTGTAATTGCAAGAAAGAGTCTGGGCAAGCTTCTCAATCTAAGGAAGGCAAAGTAGACTTAACGTTTATAAAAGCATAAGTTACCAGCATTGGGCCAAAATTTCCAGTCAAAATAGAGACCTAAAAAGCATCCTGTGACAGTCATAGTTTACTCCTGGTGAAATGAATACTGGGCAAATCCTTGAATAACAGCATCTGCCATGGGGGCTGCACTTTTGCTTCCTAAGGAATGACTTGGGTCATTCCTTACCCTCACCCAGGCATGCTGTCCCACATTGAGGGATGTCCCTCACCAATTCATCCACCTGAAGTGCTTATGGAGCACTTCACTGTAGTTTAACACCTGTCAAATAAATCGAACTGAACCAAATTGAGCTCCTAGAGTATCTTTAGAGACTGGATCAAGTGAAATGCATCCATTATGAACAAATGTACACATAGAAAAAAAGATAGTCAAACACATGGATAGACAAGTCCAGAGGAAACAAATAAAATTGCCATTAAATCTATGAAAAACAATTGCATTAATAATTTAAGAAATTTAAATGTATACAGCAAAAGAATAGCTTTTATTATATTATACAGGCAAAGTAAATGTAAAGGCAATACCCAGTGATGGTGAAAGTATGAGAAACTAGATATTCTTATATTGCTAGTAAATGTACAAATTGGCTCAATTTTTTTGGAGGGCGATATGGTATCTACCCAAAACATTAAAAGATAAATCCATAAACGTAAAAGTATTTAATACATTTCTCTCAACAAATGACAGACTAATCAGACAATCCATAATAACAGATGTCAACAACACAATTAACAAACTTGATCTGATTAGCACTGATCTGGCAAGCACTACCAACATTCCTTTCACGAGCGTACAGAACATTTACTGACACTGACCATGCTGCACCATAAATCAAGCTGCAGCAATTGTGAAAGACTGAAATCATTCAGAGTATGCTCTCTGACCACACTGAAATTCTAGTCAGCAGCAAAGATATAACAGACAAAATCTCCAAATATTCGGAAATTAAGCTACATATATATATATATATATATATATATATATATATATATATACACACACACATACATATATATACATATATATACACACACATATCTATACACATATATATACACACATATATATATACATATATATATATATACACACATATATATATAATTTTTTTTTTTTTGAGATGGAGTCTCGCTCCGTCGCCCACGCTGGAGGGCAGTGGTGCAATCTCGGCTCACTGCAACCTCCGCCTCCCGGTTCAAGTGATTCTCCTGCCTCAGCCTCCTGAGTAGCTCGGATTACAGGCGCACGCCACCACTCCCGGCTAATTTTTGTATTTTTAGTAGAGACAGGGTTCCACCATGTCGGTCAGGTTGGTCTCGAACTCCTCACCTTGTGATCTGCCTGCCTCAGCCTCCCAAAATGCTGGGATTACAGGCGTGAGCCACCGCACCCGGCCTAAGCAATATATTTTTATATGGCCCATGGGTCAAATGAGAAATAGTAATAAAAATTAGAAAATATTTTGAACAGATTAAAATGTTATACTCATAGATTGAAAGATGCAATATTTTTTAAATGTCAATTTTTTTCTAAAATGTTTCATATATGCCATGCAATCCTAATAAAAATTCCAGCAGGAGTGTGTGTGTGTGTGTGTGTGTGTGTGTGTGTATGTGTGTGTCTGTGTGTGTATGTGCGCGCACGCACACGTGTGAAAACTGACAAGTTATTCATAAAATTTATATAAAAATGCAAAAAGCAAATAATAATGAAGACTTTCTTAAAGAATAAGTTGGACAACTTACACTGTCGGATATCAAGACTTACTATATAGTTACCAAAATTACAAAGTATAGTACTGGTGCAAAGAGAAGTGATGAAACAAAATAGGTCATTTGAAAATGGAGCTTCACATATAGGGCGACTTCATGTCGACTTCACGTGTGAAGGTGACACTACAGCACAGTAGGAACATGGTGAGCTTTTCTTTCTTTTTTTTTTAGACAGAGTTTCACTCTTGTTGCCCCGTCTGGAGGGCAATGGCACGATCTCGGCTCACCGCAACCTCCGCCTCCCAGGTTCAAGCGATTCTCCTGCCTCAGCCTCTCGAGTAGCTGGAATTACAGGCATGCACCACCATGCCCGGCTAATTTTTTGTATTTTTAGTGGAGACGGGGTTTCTCCATGTTGGTCAGGTTGGTCTCGAACTCCCAACCTCAGGTGGTCCACCTGCCTCGGCCTCCCAAAGTGCTGGGATTACAGGCATGAGCCACTGTGCTGGGCCATGGTGAGCTTTTCAATAAACTATTGAGTCAACTGGATAGCCATATGAAAAAAGTAAATTTTGATTGTTTCAACATAACATACAAAATTGATTCATTCTTGAAAGACGGTAGATCTAAATATAAAATTTAAAACAACTACATTTTCAGAACTGGGCTGTTCAGTATGACAGCCACTAGGCACATGTGAGATTTAAATTCAAATTAATTGAATAATTTATTTCCTCTGCCATACTAGCCACATCTCAAGTGTTCAATAGCACAAGTGGCTAGTGGTCACTGTTTTGTACAATGTAGCTATGGAACAGTTCCATCACTGCAGAAAATCCTATTGGACAAAATTTTTCTGGAAAATAATGTAAGAGAATACCTTCATAGTAAAAAGAGGTCGTTAAAGAATATAACAGGCCAGGCATGGTGGCTCACACCTGCAATCCCAGCACTTTGGGAGGCCAAGGCAGGTGAATCACCTGAGGTCAAGAATTCAAGACCAGCCTGACCAACATGGCGAAACCCCATCTCTACTAAAAACACAAAAATTAGCTAGACATGGTGGTGTACACCTGTAGCCCCAGATACTCAGGAGGCTGAGGCAGAAGAATCACTTGAACCCAGGAGACAGACATTGCAGTGAGTCAAGATTGTGCCACTGCACTCCAGCCTGGGCAACAGAGCAGGATTCTGTCTCAATAAAAAAAAAAGGAATATAAAAGTATAAGCCACAAAAGAAGTTGATAAATTCAAACTATATTAAAATTATGAATGCTTCTTCATTAAAAGATTGAAAAAGCAAGCCACAGAGTCAGAATTATTTGCAATTTATATATATATTCTACAAAGGACTTTTGTCCAGTATATATTATGTTATACTGTAATATATGTTATATTATAGTATATATATTATATCATATATATTACAGTATATAATATATACTGGACAAAAGTTATATATTACAGTATATATATAATATATACTGGACAAAAGTTCTTTGTAGAATATATATAAATATATATAATGTATATACTGGAGATCATATATATACATATATATGATCTCCAGTATATATGTGTATGTCTGTGTATCTATATCTATATCTCCAGTATATATGTGTATGTGTATGTTTTTTGGAGACAGGGTCTTGCTCTGTTGCCCAGGCTAGAGTGCAGTAGCCCAGTCACGGCTCACTGCAGTCTCAACCTCCCAGACTCAAGTGCTTCTCCCACCTCAGTCTCCAGAGAAGCTGGGACCACAGGCAGGTACCACCATTCCCAGCTAATTATTTTTATTTTTATTTTTGCAGAGATGGGGTCTCCTTATGTTGCCCAGGCTAGTATTATATTGCTGGGCTCAAGCAATCCTCCTGCCTCAGCCTATCAAAGTGCTGGGATTACAGCCATGAGCCGCTGCACCCAGCCTAGAATATATTTTAAAAGTCTATAAATCATTACACATAACATCAAGGCTTAAATAATAAATTTTAAATGCCAAGTATTAGCAACAGGGATTGGAGCAAGAAACTCTGGTGAGTATAAATTGGAACAACCACTTTGATTAACTGTTTGGCAGTATATACTAAAGCTAAAGATCATATGTTCTGACACCATCAGTTCCATTCCTAGGTACATGCAGGATGGAAATCAGGATTTATACAAGGTATATACAAGAACGTTCTGAGCAGCTTTACTCATAGCAGCTAAAAACTGGCAACAGCTTGACCAGCCTGGCCAACACTGTGAAACCCCATCTCTAGTAAAAATACAGAATTAGCTGGGCATAGTGACACACACCTGTAATTCCAGCTACTCAGGAGGCTGAGGTCGGAGAATCACTTGAACCCAGGAGGCAGAGGTTACAGTGAGCCAAGATCGTGCCCCACTGCACTCCAGCCTGGGCGACAGAGCGAGACTCTGTCTCAAAAAAACAAAACAGAACAAAATAAAAAACAAACAAATAAAAAAACTGGCAGCAAAAGAAATGTGCACCAACAATACAATGGTAAATATGTTACGGTATATTCATACAATTGGATATTCATGCAGAGCAATGAACAAGAAAGACTTACTGATACTTGCTACAATAAGGTAAATCTCACAGACATGATATAAAATGAAATAAGTCAAACACGAAAGAGTACATAGTGTACATAAGAGAAGACATTTATAATTCCATTTGTATGGTGTTAAAGACTCTACACTTATCCACAGAGCTCAAAGCGGTGCTCACCTTTAGGAAAGGAGGGCAGTGATTGGGAGAAGGACCTGGGGCACTTAGGGATGCTGGCAAAGTTCTATATTTTTATCTGGCAGGGTGATTATATGGGTGTGTTTCATTTATAAATATTCATCAAACTCTATACTTAAGACCTGTTCATTTTTATCTGTGTGTATTACATATACATCAACAAAAGTTTACTTAAAATTTTTTAATTAAAAAAAAAAAAAAAAAAAAAAGGCCAGGTGTGGTGGCTCATGCCTATAAACCCAATATTTTGGGAGGCCGAGGTGCGTGGATTTGAGGTCAGGAGTTCAAGGCTAGCCTGGCCAACATGGTGAAACTCAGTCTCTACTAAAACTACAAAAATTAGCCAGGCATGGTGGTGGGCACCTGTAATCCCAGCTACTCAGGGGGCTGAGGCATGAGAATCACTTGAATTCAGGAGCCAAAATCACGCCACTGCACTCCAGCCTCAGCAATACAGAAGTTTCAAAAAAAAAAAAAAAAAAAAAAAAAGCTTTAAGCCCAGCACGGTGGCTCACGCCTGTAATCCCAGCACTTTGGGAGGCCAAGGCAGGAAGATCATGAGGTCAGGAGTTCGAGACCAGCCTGGCCAATATGGTGAAACCCCATCTCTTCTAAAAATACAAAAATTAGGCAGATGTGGTGGTGCACACCTGTAGTCCCAGCTACTTGGGAGGCTAAGGCAGAATCAGTTGCACCCAGGAGGTGGAGGTTGCAGTGAGCCAAGATCCTGCCACTGCACTCCAGCCTGGGCAACAGAGCGAGACTCTGTCTCAAAAAAAAAAAAAAAAAAAAAAAAGAAAGGCTTTAAGTTTGCAAACCCTATGGCACAATGCCACTTCTAAGAATTTGACCTGTGGAAATAATTAAGATTGTATCGCAAAGGTTTTACCTTAAGGGCATTCTTATCTGAAATTACCTATAATTACAAATGATCATGAGCTTTCTGACTATCCATTAGTGAAATATAGTACTTTACAACAAACATCATGCCTCCATTTATTTATTTATATATATATATATATATATATATATATAAAAATTCAGAAAGCTGTTCATCAGAGCATGCTGAAAACAGTATGGATAACATGACCCCCATTTTGTTAAAATATATACATATGAACATACATTAATTATTGATGTAAATATCATAAAGACTATACACTAAATTATTTATAGCAGTTATAGTGAGTGGTAGATTACAGATAATTTTATTATCTATATTAAAATTTTTAATTATATTTCAAATACCAGAAAACTATAGGAAAAAATAATAAATGACCATGAACTATCAAATTTTAACATTTTACCATATTTGGTTTAGATTTTCTTAAAGAAATAAAACACAGGCCAGGCGTGCTGGCTCACACCTGTAATCCCAGCACTTTTGGAGGCTGAGGCAGGTGGATCACAAGGTCAGGAGTTCAATACCAGCCTGAGCAACATGGAAAAACCCTGTCTCTACTAAAAATACAAAAATTAGCTGGGCGTGGTGGCGCGCACCTGTAATCCCAGCTACTCAGGAGGCTGAGGCAGGAGAACCTCTTGAACCCAGGAGGCGGAGGTTGCAGTGAGCCGAGATCGTGCCACTGCACTCCAGCCTGGGCGACAGAGCAAGACTCTGTCTCAAAAAAAAAATAATAATAATAAGTAATAAAAAAATAAAAATAAATAAAACACAGATACAATTTAAGCCTCTTTCTCTCTCCAATCCCATTTTATCCTTTCCCAGAAAAAAAACACACAACTTAAATTTAGTTTTCATAATCTCATGCATATTATTCCATTGTAATTACAAATGCACGTATCCAGAAATAATATATAGTCTGTCTCTGCATGTTTTAAATTTTATATGTTAGTTATGCTATTTTTCTAGTTTTTCTAAAATAAATATTTTTCCTAAGTTATTTTTAAAATAATTATGGAGATACAGAAAATGCAACATTTTAGGTAGTGCAGAAACCCTGCACTATGTCAGAATTCCAGGCCTGAAAAAACATATCAATCATATGTTTTATAAAGTCAGAACTATAACCATCACTAAATCTTGATGTCCTCGCATAAGAGCTAGCATACAGTAAGTGTTCAAAAATATCTGTGAAACGAAATGCATCCACAACTCAGTCTTGGGATAGAACTGGATGTTGTGGGATTATTCACAGTCAGATAGGACAGGAGTCCCCCAAAATGGGGAGGCTTTACAAACTTTAGTGGTTAGATTTCAAGCATTTACTCCAGAAGCTTCCTACCCTCTCCCCTGCCATAGTAAACAATAAGAAGCAAACATTTACCATGGCAGGTTCTGTTCAGACTGGTGCTGATATTATGGATAATGCAGGATATCATGATAATTCAGCATTCAACTTTCAATTGAAAAATAGCAACAGGACAGGCACGGTGGCTCATGCCTGTAATCCCTGCACTTTGGGAGGTCGAGGCAGGCAGATCACCTGAGGTCAGGAATGTGAGACCACCCTGGCCAACATGATGAAACCCCATCTCTACAAAATATACAAAAATTAGGCCGGGCATGGTGGCTCACACCTGTAATCTCAGCACTTTGGGAGGCAGAGGTGGACGGATCACCTGAGGTCAGGAGTTCAAGTCCAGCCTGACCAACATGGAGAAACCTCATCTCTACTAAAAATACAAAATTGGCTGGGCGTGATGGTGCATGTCTGTAATCCCAGCTACTCGGGAGGCTGAGGCAGAAGAATCACTCGAACCTGGGAGGTGGAAGTTGCAGTGAGCCAAGACTGCACCACTGCACTCCAGCCTGGGCAACGAGAGCAAAACTCCACCTCAAAAAAAAGAAAAAAAAAATACGAAAATTAGCCAGGCATGGTGGCGCGCATCTGTAGTCCCAACCACTCAGGAGGCTGAGACAGAAGAATCACTTGAACTCAGGAAGTGGAGGTTACTGTGAGTTAAGACTGCGCCACGGCACTCCAGCCTGGCCGACAGAGCGAGACTCCATCTCAAAAAGAAGAGAAAAAAACCAATAACAGAAATGGCAAAAAGTCTGCTATTATTTTCTACCTCTTCAAGATTTTCAGAGGTCCTATTTATAGGAGAAGCTCAGGACTGAATCTAGTCCACTCACACTTATTGCATTACATTTATTTTATACTGTGGTAGGGTAGAAATAATTTTTATATCATCAAACTACTTACATGAAAGTGCAGGATAATTGTCCAAATTAGGCCAAGGATAATGGATGGGTTTCCATCAATGATATCAGTAACATGAATATTTATTAGCTTAATCTGGAAAACAAAAAGTGCAGGTTAAAAGGAGGAAATATCCCAGAGCATTAATCTCTCCTGTGAATTTTTAAGAAAAATTTATACTTACTGATCGGTTTCTTAGGAATGTCAAGGCATGTTCTATATTGATTCTACACTGGAAGGTATTAGATCCTTTATCCCGAGGCTGTGAAATTCAAGCAAATATATTACTCAGAAAAAATGAAATACATATTTTTTAAGTCAACAGAAAGTTTCTCAGTGTCATTTAAAAATCTTACCAACTGTTGCCCAGAAAGTACTTCTAGCAGATCCAGGAGGACATGCCCCTTTTTAATGTCTGTGAATAGGTCGGATATAACTGAGGGAGAAGTGTGCTGCAGAAGGTCACAAGAAAAATAATCATTCAAACTTTGGTCCAAAAAGAATACCTTTAAGAATCTCATAAATGTGCTTTGTGAAAAACTAAAATTCAGTAATGACTTTCTTCTTAATTAAGAGAATGAGAGAGAACATGCAAAGATTCATATCAAAACGTAAGAAAAGTAGCGAATTTAATTTATCTTATGGCTAATTTCCTGTAACACAACACCCTTTCTGCGTGGAGCTTTCACTGAGAGCTTAAAACCTGTGCACACAAGTGGCATTAAAGACTTTTAGAATCAGTCGCTAGTGACCCATCTGGAAAGCAGATTACATTTCTGGAGTAACCTGCTTATGTATTTACCCTTTCTTAGAATTACAAGCATCGTGTTGAAATGGACAGAGAAAAAAACAGTGTGTGGTCTGTGAGAAGAGGCTCATTCATTGTGTATCTAGGTTACTCTAGACACTCAGCATCAGTGTGGTAGGATGGCACAGTGATTATGATCAAGGCCACTGAGTCCAGACTGTCTGGGTTCATATCCCAGCACTATCACTTTTAAGCTGTGTGACCACATGCAAGTCACAAAACTTCTCTGTACTGAAGTTTCCTTGACCTTTAAAAAGGTATATTACTATCTATTTCATAGGGATGTCGTGAAATTATTTGTCAGGAGTTGTCATAATCATTACACTTAAAGAGTTTAGGACAGTTTCTAATATATAACATTTATTATATGCAAATCAGTATTACTATTACTTCACTTGATGAAAGAGATGTGATTAAATATTTTTATAGCACTGTCCCATATCCTCAACAAAAGTCCCTTTTTTTCTGTGTGAGAAAGAGTAACAAATACATCAAAACAAGATCAAGACAACTTTTAGCACATTCTTTCAAGAAAAGACATTCCACAACCTTTTCCCTGTCATCACCAGTACCATTTTTTAATGGCCTCCTTGGGGTCAAAACAGAAGGAGTAGGGGGAGTAATAAATAGATTTATAAACTAATTTGGTCTTCATTTGCTTACCCTGGCCAACTGTGAGTTTATCCAGCACGTGAAGGCTTTCTTCTGGGTGTCTTCCTGTTCAGCTATCAAAGAAAGAACAACAGCAGTTATAAAACCAGAAGCCTCAGAAACCTCCTGCACATATCAGAGCTTCAAAGGTCTGTCACGCTAGGTGTGTGCCTGTTTCACAAGCTTACAAACTTTCCAGGATTTAGTCTAAACTGTAGATGTTTGTCCAAGTAGTGTTTTAGAAAAACCATGTTGATACGATATTTTTTTAAAACCATGGGTTTGTTGACGAGACAATGGTTTTTAATATTTTTTACTGATAAAAGAATTAGGACCACGGTGCTGTGGTTCACACCTGTAATCCCAGCACTTGGGAGGCCGAGGTAAGCAGATCGTGTGAGCTCAGGAGTTTGAGACCAGCCTGGACAACATACAGAAATCCCATCTTTACAAAAAATACAAAAATTAGCTAGGCATGGTGGCATGAACCTGTGAGGGGGGAAGATGGCTTGAGCCCAGGAAGTCAAGGCTGCAGTGAGTCGTGATCATGCCCCTGCACTGCAGCCTGGTCAACACGGCAAGACTCTGTTTCATGAAAGAAAAAAAAAAAAAAAAAATGAACTGAGACCCTATACCACCTTGACAGTACTGTACAAAGAACTGTGAGCAGCAACAGGAGTTCCTAACCTAGACTTTAAGTTTAAGCCCAAACCGTTTAGTAAAGATGACCCCAGAACATAAGAAGATGTTTTAAATGGCACATGAAATCATTAAGGTTTAGTCTTAACATTTATCATGGAGAATATATCGCCACTGAATTAACTGTAAATGGGCTGTAATTAGTCAGAGAGAACTGTGTTCAAATCCTGTTTCTGTTATGGGGTAGCTGTGTGACCTTGAGCAGTGTCCTTGTTTAATAAAAAAGTAATACGCATTTGTCTCTAGAGATTATTATAAGAATCTAATGATTCACTTAAAGTGATTAGCATAGACTCTGGCACATAAGAAGTGTTGGCTATTACTCTTATTAAACAGGTAGGGGTCGGATGTGGTGGTTCACGCCTGTAATCTCAGCACTTTGGGAGGCTGAGGCCGGTGGATCACCTGAGGTCAAGAGTTCAAGACCAGCCTGGACAACATGGGGAAACCCCATTTCTACTAAAAATGTGAAAATTAGCCAGGCGTGGTGGCACACGCCTGTAGTCCCAGCTACTTGGGAGGCTGAGGCCGGAGAATCATTTGAACCGAGGAGGCGGAGGTTGCAGTGAGCTGAGATTGTGACACTGCACTCCAGCCTGGGTGACAATGCGAGACTTCGTCTCAAAAAAAAAAAAAAAAAAGAAAAAAAAAATCCAGGTAGGAGTCAAGGGGAAGACCTGAACCCTCAGAGTACAGCCCTTCTTGCCCCTCTGAGCAGGAGTGGGCCCCACACTGACACCATGCCTCCCTTAGCCCTCTACCCCCTGATTTTCAGCAGACATTCTCAACACCAGGGTTAAGGGTTAGCCCTGCACTCAACAACTGAGCTTCCATCTCCCCACATCTCCTCACCTGGATGGGCAGAGATAAGCACAGGCCCAGACACCCATGGCACCCTGTGCCCAATGCTTACGGCCTTGCCACCATCAACCTCCAGTTCACCAGGCCTCATCTCACTATACCCTTTATCCTTGCTTATATCAGCCAGTGCATGCACACATGCAGACACTCACATGCACACATGCAAGCGCACACATGCACACACGCACACACACGCACATGCACTCTAGACTCTCAGGTCTCTCTCATTTCTTTCTAATTCCTGTTAAGACTCTGCATATCCCCCCAACTTTTCTCATCTCCCACCTCTCCTTAAGTCCTAAAGTGCTTCCACGGATGATGAAACCCGTGGTGTGCCATCAGCAAAATCCCCTCCATGCCCAATACCCTCTCTGGTGTTGAGGCTTTCCCTTCCTGCTTTCATGGAAACCTGGCTCTCCTCTGAGAATACCACTTCCCCTGCAGCCCTCTCAAGTGGCAGCTTTGCTTTCTCTTGCAGCCCTCGTACCACTATTTCCTCCCTCCTCATGGCCACCTCCAGTTCATCCTCTACCCTCTTTGTCCCTGAAATCCCCTAGCTTTGAATCTCACGTCATTAGACTATCCTTGCTATCACAATTGTTACCTACCTCTATCATTTCCCACCCTTTCTGCTCCTTCTCCACTGTCACTCTGTCCAATAGTCTAATTCTTAGTACTTTCTAATTTACTTATTTATAGACAAGGTCTCACTCTGTTGCTCAAGCTGGAGTGCAGGGGTGTGATCATGACTCACTGCAGCCTTGACCTCCCAGGCTCCCAAGTAGCTGGGACTACAGGCGTGTACTGCCATGTCCAGCTAATTTTTTAAATTTTTTGTAGAGATGGGTGTCACCACGTTACCCAGGCTGGTCTCAAACTCCTAGGCTCAAGCAATCCTCCCAACTCACCTCCCAAAGTGCTGGGATTACAGGCGTGAGCCATCACACCTGGCCTTATTCTTGGCAATTTCAATATACACAGCAATGAACTTTCCAATGTCCTGGCCCCTCAGTTTCTCGAATTCCTCCTCTCCAATACACTTGTCTTCTGCCCTGCGTCAATCACCTTGCTGTCGTGGTCATACTCCAGACTTTGTCATTACTAATAACAACTCCTCCATGATCTCAAGTTCATGCATCTCCATTCAGTTCACTCACTCTAGTGCCCCAACTCCAGCAATCATTTCAGTTCATCAACAACTCCAAGCCATTGACTCTGCCAGTTTTTCAGTGTCCCTCACCCCCAGGATATCCTACCTTTCATTCTTATCCATTTTAAGTTCCATGATCAATTATTACCAACACTCCTTGCATTTCACCTATTTTGTTCTATTTGCTTTGACACTTCATGACTACTCTGTGCACTTCATCCTACAAACAGGTTGCTGAATGTGGCTGGAGAAACCCACTCAACAGTGCTCACTGGTCTCACCAGCAGCCCCAGTGGGCCCTAAAAGCTGCCCAGTAATCTCACACTATATGGCCCTCTCCCTGTCCCCAGATGGCAACTTAACCCCTTTTCTTCTTCCACAAACATCCAATACCTCCTCCCTCATCATTAAACTCAGCTGAAACCTTGCTTCCCACCCACTCATCTAACAACCTGCAAAAGTGCTCTGCTTCCAACCTATCAGCACAGATGAACTAGCCTTGCTCAGAACTAAAGCCAATCCTTTCACTTGTACACTATATCCCATCCCTGTGCTCCAACGCAAGAACATTCTGTTCCTACCTCTTCCGTATCATCGTCTTCCCCCACTCTCTTAAACAATTCCCATGAGTATACAGCCATACTGTTAATTCTCCCATCCAAAAACAAACCTCTTGACGCCAGTTCCCAACCAGCCATCGCTTCATTTGTCTGCTCCTTTGCGGCAAAATGCCTCAAATAGTTTGTGTTTACTGTCTCCAGGTCTTCTCCTCCCTCACTCTTAACTGAACCCATACCGATTAGGTCCCTGCCATTCGACTGAAACAGCTTCTCATCATGGTCACTTGAATCAAGGTCCTCGATGACACACTCTCATGAAAACCAATGGTCTATTCTCAACCTTCATCCTGCTGGACCCATCAGCAGCATCTGATATAGATGATCATTCTCCTCTCCTGCTTCCAGGAACCAGACTCCTGATTTTCCTCCTTCATCAAGGTTGCCTCCTCCCTTTCTCTCACGTTTCATATCTAATGCCTCCAGATATCCTGTTAGGTCCACCCTCACAATATATTCAGGATATGACCACTTCTCACCACCTCCATCACCACCACCCTGGCCCAAGTCACCATCACCTCCACCTGGGTTACTGCGACAGATTCCTAACAGATCTTCCCTCCAGCTTTGCCCCAAAATACTATGCTCAGCACAGCAGGCAGTGATGTTGCTAAAATGTTCACTCAGATCAGGAAACTCCTTTGCTCAAAACCCTGCAAGGGCTCCTCCCTTCACTCCTCATGATGGCTACAAGCCCCAGCACCATCTGCCCTTCCCTGCTTCCCACCTGCTGCTTCTGCTCCAACCACTCTGGCCTCCTGTATTCCTCAAACTCCCCAGGCCCATTCCCACCTTAGGCTTTGGCACCAGCTGTTCTTTCTTCTAGGAATGTTCTTTCTACTGTTATCCACAGGTGAATTCCCTCACCTCCTTCAAATCCTGGCTCAGACAACACCTCATCTAAGAGGTCTACCCTGACTGTCCGATCTAAAATTGTAACACCCCCAACTCCCGATCCCTCTTGTCCTGCTCTATTCTCTTTCCCTAGGGTACTTATCTCTTTTAACACTCCAGATAAATTACTTATGCAGTAAGTTTATTGTTAATGTCTCACTCTCCTCTCAACAGAATTTACGCACCACAACACAGGCAAAGATGCTTTGTCTGTGCTATGTCCCAAGTGCCTAGAAAAGCTTGGCCCAGTGTAGGCCCTAAATAAATATTTTCTGAAATAATAAGAATATTTTGGGCTGGGCACGGTGGCTCACGCCTGTAATCCCAGCACTTTGGGAGGCCAAGGTGGGCGGATCACAAGGTCAGAAGTTCGAGACCAGCGTGGCCAACATGGTGAAACCCCATCTCTATTAAAAATACAAAAATTAGCCAGGCATGGTGGTGGGCACCTGTAATCCCAGCTACTCAGGAGGCTGAAGCAGGAGAATCGCTTGAATGTGGCAGGGAGAGGTTGCAGTGAGCCAAGATTGTGCCACTGCACTCCAGCCCGGGTGACAGAGCGAGACTCCGTCTCAATAATAATAATAATAATGTTTTGTTTTCTTTTTTTAATTTAGTAGAGATGAGGTCTGACTACGTTGCCCAGGCTGGTCTTGAACTCCTGGACTGAAGTGATCTTCCCACGTTGGCCTCCCGAAGCGCTGGAATTACAAGTGTGAGCCACCACACTCAACCTAATAATAATGTTTTTAATTATCACTGTGGTTGTTATATTTTACTATATTGAAGCAAATCTACCTTTATGAGTTCACAGTCCTTTCTCTTAAGGTTGTCTGTTCTACCTTCTACTACATTGTTTTCCTTGGACTTTTCTCTACCTTATTAATCTCTATCTAATAGTCATAGTGAATTGAAATTGTTGGTATTTGGCCTGCAATATGTGCAAAAGTATGACATCTAATTTAAGTTCTAGAAAAATTTTGAAGTAGACAAGAGCTCTGGTTGAAGAATTAAAAGGCCTAGCAGCATAAATGGAATTTTGTGGTGTTTCCAACTGCCTAGTAAATATTGCAACTGATTAGAGATTAAAGATGCACCAAGCCTCACTGGAATTTTTTTCCTTTTTAATCCATTCCATTTTTTATGCATTACCAGTTTAAATTAGTTATAGACTACTGATATACACTTTATAGGGTGCTCAATAATTGCTAACTGAACTAAATTGAGTTCTGATTAGCCAACTGGATAATTCAGGCTTTTGAGAGTTATTCCTGTCTTATATAAATTTCTCTCAACGAAGTAATTCCAGAGCACCACAATTTTGTCCTATAATTCAAAACTATACTAAATCTCCTAGAATCTCTGAGCAATGTTTTCATTGTTTTGTCCCCTAGCATGAGAAGAGAATAACTTTTAAACATGTATTGCCACTTCCCAAAAAAAAAAAGCATCAAAGGCTAATTTTATATCTTAATAGAAAAAAACCAGAGAACAAGTTTTTGTGATTCCAAGATCAAGTTATATGCACACACTGTACACTAATCGGGGTCACATGTAAAAGCAGAGAGGGCCCTATCCATTCCTAGCAATAGAGCAGACATTCAAAATGAAAACAAACAACAACAAAAACAAAGATTACTCTCTTCCTTATTTTTAAGGGACCAAGAGAGATTTTTCCATCTAGATGATAAGGTGTAAAAAAGAAACTAATCAGCAATAGTATCAGGTCCAAGAGACAGAGTATGCACTGACTTGAGGGGAGTTATGGCAGGAAGGAGGAGCACAACTCAACAACCTCAGAGGAGGTGAAATGCAGCGTGAAACTGAGTGAATAAGACCACTGTGTGCCCACGGAGTCTTCCCAATCCATGCCCACCTGGAAACCTCGGCCATTTTGAGCTATTTCCAAATAAGATGAGGGGTCATTTCATTTGCACATGATACTAGATAAAAGGGGTCTTATACTAAGCAACCTGTGACTATGAGCTTTCCTAGCTGAGAAAAGTGGCAGCAAAATCAGGGCTCTAACTGGATTGTTCAAATGGAGCACATAATCGGAGAGTAAACTGAGGAACATCCCCTGACAGAGACATAAACTTGAATTTAAAATAATCAAAACTTTTCTAAGGAAAAGTAGAAGTTACCTCTGTCCTAATCTGATTAAACTCTAATAAAACAAGGGAAAAAACACTAAGAGGAGCAGCCAGAACAAATCCCCACAGGTATTCTCCAGTTAGCAAAGGAGACAGTGCACAAATGAAATCTTCAGAAAAAAAGATTTGGAAAGAAATCTGCATGGCTTTTAAACTCATTGTCCGAACTTAGAGAATGCCTCTTCATCCTGGAAATCAGAACCCTCTAAATGCAATAAAGAACCTTTGCTTAATGGCAAACAAAGACATCCCAGGTGCAATTAAACACCTTTATAGCAGCTCAATTAAATGGTTTCATATGTGCCATTCCATTTATCCCCTGACACACTTTTCTCACGTTTTCATACTGCTTTATCCCTGAATGGCAGTATTCAATGGGAACCAGCGCCAAATAGCTCACCCTATGGCAGGATAAGGAACCTTTTGTTCTTTTCAAAGGCTGACCCATTGGGGAAAAAGTAATTGAGAGCCACGTGCTTATAGCAACTTAATAAAACTCTTCTTAGAATGGCATGTAGAGAATAGGACCTTTTAATCAGCAGATGTTAGGGATAGAAAAAGCAAAGAAATAAAGAGAATAATACAATCTACTACAATGATGAATTCTGTAAAAAAGCTAAGGGAATAGAGAATAAGAAATTCTCTATCTTGATTTTTCAGGCAAATATATATACATAATGTAGGAAAATGTGGTCAGTGAATTTTATTCAGGCCCATATGAGTATCCTTAATTATCATCCTTGAAAAATATTTGCCTGAATTTGAGAAATGAGGCACAGAAGGCAAAGATTTTTCTCTAGGTGTCATTACCATAAAAATACATTTAATCCCTGAGTTTGTTCTGATTCAGTCTGCTTTTGTGAGCGGGCAACTCATATCCTTAGCCAGAAGGGAACTAAACTGAAAGCAAAGTGAGTTAAGCTAATTAAAGGGTGTGGATTTTCATTTTAAAGCTCATTATGAAACTACCATGGCTACTAAGTCTCAGCAAGGTCATTTCCCAAAAGTTGGTTTAAAATGCTGACTCCAGGAGTCCTCCCTGGTAGTAAGAGTTCAGAAGCAGTTACCTGAGGCTAAGAATCACTAGCTTTCAGTTTCACTTAAATGCAGAGCGATGCAGGATTAAAATGTGGCATCTCCAAGAGTGTTCTCTACTCTATGAGGAAGCCTTGCGACCTCTTCTCATCAAAGAATTTCTCTTCTTCTCCTCCTATGATTGGATTATTAATAACAGGTTTACTGCATGTGGCCCTAGATTCATTACTTTGATCTTTCACTCTCCTTATGAAAATTGTTTGATCATTCCCTAATTCCTTACTGAAAAAATGATCAATTCTTAGCCTAACATTCCAGGTCATTTGTAACTTGGCTCCACGACTTCTCTACCCATATCCTATTTCTCTGGCTAAACTAGGATAGCTACAATTCGCCAACGACGTTTCACCCTTTTCTGCATCGCCACTCTACATACTCTATGGAATGGCCACTCTTCCCCATCTCTCTGCGTTCATAGAAACGCCGGCACCCAGCACATGTGGGCATTCTATCATCATTTATTATAATTGGACATAACCAGTTTAAAAGTTCCACACCCCTTTTTTGCTTTGGAGATAGGGTCTCAACTCTGTCACCAAGGCTGGAGTGTGCAGTGGCACAATCACAGCTCACTGCAGCCTGGAACTCCACGGCTCAAGTGATCCTCCCATCTCAGCCTCCCCAGTAGCTGGGACTACAGGTGTGTGCCACCACACCTAATTTTCGTATTTTTTTATGGAGGCGGGGTTTTGCCATGTTGCCCAGGCTGGTCTTGAACTCCTGGGCTCAGGCGATCCACCCACCTGAGGCTCCCAAAGTGTTGGGATTACAGGCATGAGCCACTGCAGACAGCCAAAAGTCCCCTTTCTTTTTTGTTTTGTTTTGTTTTTTTCTTTGAGATGGAGTTTCACTCTTGTCACCCAGGCTGGAGTGCAATGGCACGATCTCGGCTCACTGCAACCTCCGCCTTCCGGGTTTAAGTGATTCTCCTGCCTCAGCTTCCCAAGTAGCTGGGATTACAGGCACTCATCACCACGCCCAGCTAATTTTTGTATTTTTAGTAGAGACGGGGGTTTCACTACGTTGGCCAGGCTGGTCTTGAACTCCTGACCTCAGGTGAGGTGCTCCACCTGCCTTGGCCTCCCAAGTGCTGGGATTACAGGTGTGTGCCACTGCAACTGGCCCCAAAATCCCCTTTCTTAAAATTAATAGAAATAATCCACTCTGGCTCTGGCCTCTGACAATACTTTGTTGAATCTTTTCCGCTTATTACTATTACAAAGTAATCTGTAATGCTTACAAAAATTTTTCAAACAGTAAAAGGGATATAAGATAGAAATTAAAAGCTAATCTTAGAGCCAGGCATGGTGGTAAATGCCTATAGACCCAGCTACTCTGGAAACTGAAGTGGGAGGATCAGTGGAGTCCAGGAGGAGTTCAAGACTATAACTTGAACTTCTGGTACATAAGTTATAGGTTTCCCTCCTACTCAACATGAGAACTTGGAGTTAAACCTTTGTGCTTTTGTGTTTTTGCTTCCCCTCAGCAGTGTAATGTAGAAAAAAACATCCTCAATAAATATTTGCTGATTGAAAGACTTACGAAATACTAAAGGTATTAAGGATAAAACTTACTTATTAGATGGAGGAAAAGAATTTATTGGCAACAGTTATACTAGGCCTATGTCTTCTCTTTTTGTTTCTTTCTTTCTTTCTTTTTTTTTTTTTTTGAGACAGAGTCTCGCTTTGTAGCCCAGGCTGGAGTGTAATGGTATGATTTCGGCTCACTGCAACCTCCGCCTCCCAGGTTCAAGTGATTCTCCTGCCGCAGCCTCCTGAGTAGCTGGGATTACAGGTGCCCTCCACCACGCCCGGCTAATTTTTGTATTTTTAGTACAGACGGGGTTTCACCATGTTGGCCAGGCTGGTCTCAAACTCCTGACCTCATGATCCACCTGCCTCGGTCTCCCAAAGTGCTGGGATTACAGGCGTGAGCCACTGCGCCTGGCCAATCCTTATTTTAATAACCCCTAGGCAATTTGTTTCTTCTACTAATAAAACGTCTTGAACAAAAGGCATTATGGAAGAAAAGCACTCTTTTTCTGTATTACAACTCTTAATACTTCACTTATGATACCAAATGTGTGAGTTTTTCCCTAACGCTAAGCAATTCTCCAGCTCTCCAGATACCAAGTGGGTGTCCTCTATTCTATGATGACAATGACTGCCTGGAGTTAGTGCAGACCCCACACGTTAAGGGCTCAGTCCCACAAGACTCTCCCCTACTTCAGATGCCAATCACAGGTAGTTGATCTCCAGGTTACCCAAATTTCTGTTTGACTTGGCTATAAATCAGGGGTTCCCCGGATCCCCTCCTCAGGTTCAATAATTTGCTATAATGGCTCTCACAGAACTCAAGGAAACACTTATGTTTGCTTGTTTATTATATGGTGTGGTGGCTCACGCCTGTAATCCCAACACTTTGGGAGGCCAAGGTGGGCAGATCACCTGAGGTCAGGAGTTTGAGACCAGCCTGGTCAACATGGTGAAACCCTGTCTCTACTAAAAATACAAAAAGTTAGCCAGGCGTGGTGGTGGGCACCTGTAATCCCAGCTACTTGGGAGGCTGAAGAAGGAGAATCACTTGAACTTGGGAGGCGAAGGTTTGCAGTGAGCTATGATTGCACCACTACGCTCCAGCCTGGGCAGGAGAGCAGGACTCTGTCTTTAAAAAAAAAAAAAAAAAGAAGGATAATGATAAAGGATAGTGATGAGCAGCCAGATGAAGGTGTACAGAGGGCAAGGTCTGGAAGGGTCCCAGCACATGAATGTGTTCACAAACCCAGAAGGTCTCCAAACTACACTTTGGAGAATTTTTTTTAAAAATTAACAACTGTTTTATTGAAATATAACTCATGTACCATAAAATTCACTTTTTAAAGTGTATAATTCACAAAGCTGTACAACCATCTCATTGCTTTTTTTTTTTTTTTTGAGACAGGGTCTCACCGTATGGCCCAGGCTGGAATGCAGTGGTGCGACCATGGCTCACTGCAGCCTCAACCTCCGAGGCTCAAGTGATCCTCCCACCTCAGCCTCCTGAGTAGCTGGACCATAGGCAAATGCCACCATGCCCAGCTAACTTGTTTCATTTTTTGTAGAGACAGGGTTCTACCTATGTCATCCAGGCTGGTCTCGAAATCCTGGCCTCAAGCAATCTTCCCAACTTAGCCTCTCAAAGCACTAGGATTACAGACATGAGCCACCATGTCTGACCCCATCTCATTGTATTTTAAAATCCAAACCATAATCATGGCCCATAGCTTTATGTAATCTGGCTCCTGCCTACCTCTAAAACTTCATTTCATGACATGTTTGCCTCTGTAATTGCTGTTTCCTTAACCTGGAATTCTGGAATACATTTTCTACTTGCATTTCATATGGCTGGCTCATCCTGATGCCTTCAGTCGAATATCTCTACAGAGAAAAAAAAAATTTTTTTTTTTTTTTGAGACAGTTTCACTCTTGTCGCCCAGGCCAGAGTGCAACGGCGCGATCTCGGCTCACTGCAACCTCCGCCTCCCGTGTTCATGCAATTCTCCTGCTTCAGCCTCCCGAGTAGCTGGGATTACAGGCGCCCACCCCCACGCCCAGCTAATTTTTGGATTTTTAGTAGAGACGGGGTTTCACCATGTTGGCCAGGATGGTCTTGAACTCCTGACCTCAGGTGATCCACCCGCCTTGGCCTCCCAAAGTGCTGGGATTATAGGCATGAGCCACAGCGGCTGGCCTCAGAGAAAATTTTTCAGACACATTATCCAAAATACCCTCCATCCAATTACTCTTTATCATATTATCCTATTTACTTTCTTCTTTAGATTTACAATGTGTAAATGATACTATATTACTTATTTGTTATTGGTATATTGTATGGCTTTCCCACTAGAATTTCCATAGGATACAGATTTTTTTAGCTCTGCACTTTAGAGATTTTTATGGAGGCTTCATCACATAAACATAATGAATTATTAATTCAATCTCCAGCTCTTCTCACCCCTCTAGAAGATGGAGGTGGGAAGAGTTCCAAATTTCTAATCATGGCTTGGTCTTTCTGGTAACCAGACTCCATCCTGAAGCTATCTAGGAGCCCATCAAGAGTGGCCTCATTAGAACAAAAGATGGTCCTATCACCCAGGAAATTCCAAGGGCTTTCGGAGCTCTGTGTCAGGAACCAGAGCCAAGATCAAATATTAGAACAAAAGATGTTCCTAACATCCCTGTGGTTCAGGAAATTACAAGGGTTTTAGGAGCTCTGTGCCAGGAACCAGGGGCAGAGACCAAATATATATTTCTTATTATGTCACAGGCATGTGCTAATGAGACCCTGTTGCCATTCCCCACAACAATACTGCCAACTCACTGTTAGCTAGGACGGACACGGTAAGGATGATAATTAAATTCAGACAATAATGCAACATATTTTAGCCATGTGTTCCAACAGCCCACCCAAAAAATCTTAATCAAGCTGTCATCTGACAGAAAGAGAACTAAAAATATAAAGCCACCTCTTCTATTGTTTCTCTTGGAGATAACAAACAGAAATAAATAAAGAAACAAATTAAGGAATAAAAACACACAGGCATGTACAATCAAAACAAAAAACAAGCCTAAAATATTTGAACAGGAAAAAGCCTGTTACTTTACTACAGAAGGGGAAGGCTATTAACTAATAGAGAAAGCAAGGGATAATTTACAACACAATTTTCTTGCAACCAACCATAAACAGACAAACAGTAAGAAACAAAAACAAATAGTACCAAGACTAAGCTCTCACTTATTGAATCAATAGAATGAGTTTAGGAGGTAACTCCTGGCTAACATAACTGATAAACACAGTGAGCAACCATTTCTCAACCTCACAATTACTTTATGTCACACATGTCCCCCTCTGAAGAATTTACGTTATCACTATGGGAAAAAAGTACGTGCCTGTCAACTTCAGCATTCCAAGACTAAAATCATACTCTACCGCCCTATCTCTCCCCAGTCCAGTCCTTGCCCATGTTCCCATCACATGGGTTGGACACCCCCAACCTTTATCATTCTCAAATATAACCTACCACCAAATCCTGCCAAATTTGCCCCCTCATAGCTCTGGTATCTACTTCCTTCTCTATACATCTTGGCCCCCCAGCCCTACTGCTGAGTCTTTTTTTTTTTCCTACTTTTTATAGAGATGGTATATTAGTCCATTCTCATGCTGCTGATAAAGACATGCCTAAGACTAGGTAATTTATAAAGAAAAAGAGGTTTAATGGACTCACAGTTCCACATGGCTGAGGAGGCCTAACAATCATGGCAGAAGGCGAAAGGCATGTTTTTTTTTTTCAGATGGAGTCTCGCTCTGTCGCCCAGGCTGGAGTGCAGTGGTGTGATCTCGGCTCACTGCAACCTCTGCCTCCCAGGTTCAAGCAATTCTCCTGCCTCAGGCTCCCGAGTAGCTGGGACTGCAGGCGCGCGACCCCACACCTGGCTAATTTTTGTATTTTTAGTAGAGGCGGGGTTTCACCATGTTGGCCAGGCTGGTCTCAATCTCCTGACCTCGTGATCCGTCCTCCTCGGCCTCCCAAAGCGCTATGATTACAGGCATGAGCCACAGCGCCGGCCGAAAGGCATGTCTTATATGGTGGCAGACAAGAGAGAATGAGAGACAAGCAAAAGTGAAACTCCTTATAAAAACATCAGATCTCATGAGACTTATTCATTATCACGAGAATAGTATGGGGGAAGCTGCACCTACAATTCAATTATCTCCCACTGGGTCCCTCCCACAACACGTGGGAATTACGGGAGCGCAATTCAAGATGAGATTTGGGTGGGGACATGGCCAAACCATATCAGATGGGGTCTCACTTTGTTGCCCAGGCTAGTCTCCAACTCCTGGGTTCAAGTTATCCTCCTGCCTCAGCCATCCACAGTGCTGGGATTACAGGCATGAGCCACTGCATCTGGCCTCTCCTCTTCAATCTACCATCAACTCTACCCTGGAATGCTTCCATGGCCAACCAAGTCTGCCTGCGCCATTCCAATCTGTCCCAAACTTACCCGAATTACTCGATTGTTAGATGGTTTCTCTCTGCTCTTAGCAACATGAGCAAAATCCTTAACAGAGCCTAGGAGGCGCTGTGTGGGCCCCAGAGCACCTCTCTAGCCTCAGGCATCTTACTCTCTCCTACACCCCTGGCTCCAGCCACTCCCGCCTTCTTTCAGGACCTTTACAAGCTATGTTCCCACCTGCCACAGGCATTTGTAGCACCCCACCCCTATTCACTTCACCAGTTAACTTCTAGTCATGCTTAGGTCTGAGCTCAAGTGTTGCATCCAGAAGAAAACCTAAGTCAATCTAAGTCTTTCATTTGCTTTCATAGAGTCATGGGGGGATTTCCCCACTATTTAGCACTTAGCTCAATCTGTAATCAATGACAAGGTTAAGAACACTGGCTGTGGAGACAGACTACTTGTGTGGGACCCCCTTATCTCCCACTTACTAGCTGTGTGCCTCAGTCTTATTTGAAAATGGGGACAATAGTATCTACTTCATCGGGTTACTAGGAGGATTAAGTACCCCTACTGACTTAGACCAGAGGTCAGCAAACTATTGCCCACAAGCCAAATTTGACCTGCTGCTTGCTTTTGTAAATACAGTTTTATTGGAACAGCCACATGCTTGATTGTGCATTGCCTGTGGGTGCTTTCATGCTACAATGGCAGAGTTAGTAGTTGTAAGAGAGACCACATGGCATTCACAGACTGAAATATTTACTACCTGGCCCTTTACAGAAAAAGTTTGTCAATCCCTGGCATAGACTACGTTTAGTCTACACAAATAAATATGGCTGAATCTTGAAAACATTATCCTAAGTCAAAGAAACCAGTCACAAAACACCACATATTATATGAGTCCATTTATGTGACATGCCCAAAATAGGGAAATTCGTAGAGACAGAAAGTAGATTAATTGATTGCCTAGGGCTGGGGGTGAGATTGGAGGTGGAGATGGGGGTGGGATTGGGGAGGGGTGACAGTTAAAAGGTATGGGGTTTCTTTTTGGGGTGACAAAAATGTTCTAAAATCCTAGCCAGGTGCGGTGGCTCACACCTGTAATCCTAACACTTTGGGAGGCTGAGGTGGGCAGATCGCTTGAGCTCAGGAGTTCAAGACCAGTCTGGGCAACATGGTGAAACCAGGTCTCCACAAAAAAATATGAAAAATTAGCCAGGTGTCATGGCGCGCACCTGTTTGGGGGGCTGAGGTGGGAGGATCGCTTGAGCCCAGGAGGCAGAGGATGCAGTGAGCCGAGATCACATCACTGCACTCCAGCCTGGGTGACAAAGTGAGACCCTATCCCAAAAAAGAAGGAAAGAAAAAAAAGGATGAGAGTCTGTCATTTGTAACAACATGGATGGAACTGAAGGTAATTACGTTAAGTGAAATAACCTAGGCACAGAAAGAACGTCACATGATTTCACTTATCTGTGGAAGCTAAAAATTAAAACAACTGAACTCATAGAGATAGAGAGTAGAAGAATGGTTACCAGCGGCTGGGAAGGGTAGTTGGAGGTGCAGGTAGAGGGGAAGAGTAGATAGTTAATGGGTGCAAAAATGGTTACAAAGAATAAAGAAGACCTAGTATTTGCTAGCACAACAGGGTGACTATGGTAAAAAAAACAATGCAATTGCTCAGTTTAAAATAACTTACAGAGTATAACTGGATTGTTTGAAACACAAAGGATAAATGCTTGGGGTAATGGATACAGATATGATTATTATGCATTGCATGTCTATCTCAAAATATCTCATGTAACTCATAAATATATACAACTACTACGTATTCACAAAAATAAAAAATAAAAAGGGAATGATGAAAACTTTTTAGTTTAGTTTAGTTTTGTTTTGTTTGAGACAGGGTCTCACTCGTCACCCAGGCTGGAGTGCAGTGGCATGATCTCAGCTCAGTGCAACCTCTGCCTCCTGGGCTCAAGCAATCCTCCCACCTCAGCTTCCCAAGTAGCTGGGACTACAGGCATGAGCCACCACACCTGGCTGGCTGGCTATCTGTCTATCTATCTATCTATTTATTTTTAGAGACAGGTTTTTACCATGTCGCCCAAGCTGGTCTTGAACTCCTGGGCTCAAGCGATCCACCAGCCTCAGCCTCCCAAAGTGCTGGGATCATGGGCATGAGCCACTGCACCTGGCCGAAAACTTTCTTAATGTGATGAAGAACACTGATGAAGAAAAAAATACTAATAACATATTTAATAACAAGAAACTAAATGCTTTCTCTCTAAGATCAGGAACAAAGCAAGGATGTATACTTCCATCACTTCCATTCAACATTGCACTGGAGTAAGGCAAAAAAAAAAAAAAAAAAAAAAAAAAAAACACCAAGGCTGGAAGGAAAAAAGTTAAATTGTCTTTAATGGCAATGACATGAACTTTTATGCAGAATATCCTACTGTATCTACAAAAAATATACCAAAACTAATGTGTTTAGCAAGGCTGCAAGATACAAGCTAAATATACAAAAATTAATTGTACTTCTATATACTGCCAATGAAAAAATCAAGAAATTGCTATTTGAAAATATCATTCATAATGGCATCAAAACAAATAAACTACTTACCAATAGATTTAACAAAAGAACTGCAAGACTTATTCAATGAAAACTACAAAACATTGTTGAAAGAAATTTAAAGATCTAGGTAAATATAAAGATAGCCTATATTCATGGACTAGAATACTTAATATTGTTAAGATGGCAATACTTTCCAACTTGATCTACAGACTCAATGCAATTCCTATCAAATCTTAGCTGCCATTTTTTTTTTCAGAATTGGACAAGCTAATCCTAAAATTCATATGGAAATGCAAGTGACTCAGGATAGCTAAAGCAATGTTGAAAAGAATTAAGTTGGAAGACACACAATTCGAATTTCAAAATTTACTAAAAGCTACAGTAATCAAGATAGTGCAATATTGGCACATGGGTTGATCTATATAATAGAAGAATGGAATAGCACTGAAAATCTAGAAGTAAATTCTTCCACTTATGGGCAATTGATTTCTGACAGGCATGCCAAGAAAAGTCAGTAGGAAAAGAATACTTTTTTTGACCAGGCACAGTGGCTGATGCCTGTAATCCCAACATTTGGGAGGCTGAGGTGAGTGGATTGCTTGAGCCCAGGAGTTCAAGACCAGCCTGGACAACATGGTGAAACCGTGTCTCTACAAAAATAAAAAAAAACAAAAAATTAACCAGGTGTGGTGGCACACACCTGTAGTCCCGGCTACTCAGGAAGCTGAAGTGAAAGGATTGCTTGAGCCCAGGAGGCAGAGATTGCAGTGAGCTGAAATGGCACCACTGCACTCCAGCCTGGGTGACAGTGAGACACTGTCTCAAAAAAAAAAAAAAGTTCTAAAATCCAATGTGATGACTGCTCAACTCTGTGAGTATACTGAAAACTACTAAATCATATGCTTTAAATGGGTGAATTGCATTGTATGTGAATTTGATGTCAAATTATATCTTAATAAAGCTTAATAAAATATTAGCTAATATCTATAAGATTATTTGATCAACTTCTGCCTCCTCATTAGCTTATGGGCTCCAACAGTACATGACCCATGTCTGAGTTTGCTCCTCATTTTGCCTGCAGCACCTACCCCAGAGCTTTCATGCTATAGGAATTTAGAAAACATTTATTGAATTAATGATTAAATGGCTAGGGAAGGAGGGAGCAGGAGTTTGTTATTTTTCCTCAATCAACATACAGATTTAAGTACTTAGTTTGTTGGGAAAATATGTGACATAAGATCAGTGATTTCTACTTTGAGCCTCAGCATGTGGAGTCCAGCAACCTCGTGTTGCCACATGAGCAAACCACACCCTTGTGTAAACACCTGACAGTCTTATACTGAGGCTTTTGTTTCCACCCTCACTGGAACATAGCTCCCGGCTCTCTGCGTAAGCAAGTCTTGTATTTTTAGCACATGAAAATAAGCCCACAATACTGATAAAAGTCTAGAAGTTGGGTGCTATTTGTCTCTCCTCCTTCTCACACTCTTCTGATTCATCTAAGTTGCTCAATAAATATCTACGGAATGAAGAAATAAAGAAATGACTACATTTATTTTAACACATATTTGTTACTCCTTGCTACCTTTTAACTACCACATAAAACTGAACACTTTTCTTTTGAAAAATCAAGGTATGTGAGCCTGAACACTTTCTACTGGGGCAGCAGTCCAAGCACCTCTGACTTCTGAGTGCAAAAGAACCAGACTGCACTAAACAGAGCTGTGCTGTGATTATAAATCCAGGGTTCTTACATTTTGGAATGCCAGCAAATTACTCAGGGTTATTGTTTAAGTGCAGGTTTCTGGATCCCAACTCCCAGAGATTCTGATTCAGGGCTTCACATATCTCACTTTGTGAAATACTTGTCTAAATAGATCGGACAATTTACATGTATGACTTACTCTTGAAACAACAGGGAATAAGAAGGGCCTGGCAAAAAATAGCGATGAAATGATAAACTCTGAGATATTAATATATCTCAAAATAAATATTATAACACATGAGTATTTTTTATAGAGATGGGGTCTTGCCATGTTGCCCAGGCTAGTCTCAAACTCCTGAGCTCAAGCTATCCTCCCACAGTGCTAGGATTATACACGTGAGCCACTGCACCTAGCCCTAACACATGGCTATCTTAAGAAACACTTGGAGGGGCTCAGACGGCTTGCTGAAGCAAGTCAGGCCCGGGAATAAGTGGAATGTCACAGGTAAGGAACTATGACACTATTTCATTAAGGGCTACCAATAAAGTAGTCAGGTAAGCATTTTATAAACGAGAAAACTTCCTCCCAGAAGATGGAGGATATTTTATTTGCTCATTCAATAAAACATCTAAGCTGGGTCTGGGGGCTTGTGCCTGTAATCTCAGCACTTTGGGAGGCTGAGGTGGGAGGTTCACTTGAGCCCAGGAGTTCGATACCAGCCTGGGCAACCAGGTGAGACCCTGTCTCTAAAAAGAGCACAAAAATTTAGCCAGGCATGGTGGCGCACAGCTATAGTCCCAACTATTCAAGAGACTGAGGTAGGAGAAGCACCTGAACCTGGGAGGTCAAGGCCACAGTGAGCCGTGATCGTGCCACTGTACTCTAGCCTGGAAGACAAAGTGAGACCCTGTCTCAAAAAATAAAATAAAACAAAACATCTATTGAAAGCCTACTATGTCTTGGATAATATGCTCTGGATCTCACATCTGGTGGAGGAGAAATTCAAATCCAGATGTGTCTGATTCAAAATCCATGTTCTTTTCATTATAGTTCAAAATCAGCTGAAATGCCAAATCCATGGCTACTACCCTATCTCTCACCTCCCCTTCAAATCCAAACTTCTTGAAAGAGTTGTCTACACTGGCTATTTTTACTTCCTTACCTACCACTCATGTCTCAACCCACTATAAACTGGGCTGCCCCAAACACTACCTAATTCTCACCTAGGCCACTTATATATTTCGGGCTGCCCCAAACACTACCTAATTCTCACCTAGGCCACTTACGTATTTCCATTGTTGAACCTAATGGATACTTCTTGGTACTTATAGGATATCTTAAAACTTCTGACACTGTTTCCTACCCTCTCCTTTTTTAAATACTCTCCTTCTCTGGGGTCCATGATACCACACTCAGTTGGGTCTCTTCCTACTTCTCTGGACATCCCTTCTCAAGCTCTGCTACGGGCTTGTGTTGCTTTTTCTATCTGTGTGATGTTCTGCCTAGACCCTTCTCTTTTTCTAGATATTTTCATCTACTCCAATGGAACAAATTGCCATTTACACACTAAGGACTCCCAAGTATTTACCTTCAGCCCAGTTGTCATCTCTCCTATATATCCCATTGTTGTCTGGATATTTCCATGTGGTTATTCCATAGACATCTCGAACTCAACATTTCCAGAACTGAGTCATCATGTCTAACCAACTCCCTTCCCAACCAAAGTTGTTCTCCTGCACTTTTTTTTTTTCAGTAAATGGTTCTATCATCTACTGATTTGCCCAAGAATAAATCTATCATTTTTTCTATTTATTTATTTTTGAGACAGAGTCTCGCTCTGTCCCCCAGGCTGGTATGCAATGGCATGATCTCAGCTCACTGCAGCTTCCACCTCCCAGGTTCAAGCTATTCTCCTGTCTCGGCCTCCAGAGTAGCTGAGATTACAGGTGCATGCCAACACGCCCAGCTAATTTTTGTATTTTTTAGTAGAGACAGGGTTTTGCCATGTTGGCCAGGCTGGTCTCGAACTCCTGGCCTCAAGTGATCCACCCGCCTCTGCCTCCCAAAGTGCTGGAATTACAGGCATGAGCCACCATACCCGGCCAAAACCTATCATCTTTGATACATCCTTCCCTCTCCTTCTCCCATACCAAGTCAATCAAAAAGCCCTGATACCAATTAGATGATATCTCTTGAACACCTATTTCTCTCCATCTCCACGGCCACCTCTACATCAGGACACCATTCTTTCTCGGGTGGACCACCCTAACAGACTTATGCTGGTCTTTCTGCCTCCACCCTCACTCCCTTAAAGACTAGACGCCACACTGAAGCCTGGGGGAATTTCTAAAACAAGTTTTGTGACTGCTCACAATCTCTCCATTGCTTCTGCTTGGTCTTAGGAAAAATTCCAGACCCCTATATGTTTATATGACCCCTCATCTCTTCACATTCTCCTTCAAATTTTAATTCTCCTTTAAATCCTCAGTCTCACTGAACATCCATTTCGTTGAATGTACCACATTCAGCTCATCTTCTGGCCTCTCCTGCCCGCAGCATCTTCTCATCTTCACACTGCTCATGTGCTACCATCTTTTAGGTAACAGCTTAGGAATCATTTTCTCTGGGGAGCCTTCCTCAGGTCTGGGTTAGGTACTCCCACTCCATACTTCCGTAGTACCAAGTCTTGCCTCACTTGGAGCACATACCCCATGATACTGTGATAGTTTACGCGCTTGTGTGTATCTCTGTAATCAGAGGATACATTTTAGAAGAGGATGTGCCATGTACTAACCCGTGTGCTCAGCACAGTCCTTATACACAGTAAGTGTTCAAAAATATTTGTTGAATAATGAATGAACAAATAAATGAATGGGGCTTTCAGAGTAAACCGACCTATACCTAAGAAAAGCGTAACAAGAAATGAAATAGTACCTCTTACCTTAAAAAAAAAAAAAAAAAAACTTACCTTTTATCATGTGCCTGATATCTCTGTTTTACAGCAAAGTTTCTTGAAAGTATAAATCAAGTGACTCTCTCCACTTCCTCGTTCTCCTATTCTCTCCTCAATGCAGAGTCAGGCTTCCATTTCCACCTCTTGACAGTGGCTAAGCTTGTCAGAGCCATCACAACAAATCTTAGGAGCGCAATCCAGTGGGCTCCTCTCTGTACTGACCTTACTTGACTGCTGTGTGGCATTTATTATGCTTTACCATACCACCTTCCTGAAACACGTTCATCTAGGGGTTTCCATGCCATTGCGTTCACCTGCTTTTCCTTCCTTGTCACTGGCTACTCCTTCTCAGTGTCCTTTCCTTGTTCCTCCTCTTCCACTTGACCTCTAAACACGGAAAGACCCAAAGGTCTGCTCTTGCTACACGCTCCAAAGGTGATCTCATTCAGTCCACCACCAGGTCAGGCCACCCCTTGCCCACCACAATCCAGCCACACTAGACTTCTTTGGCTCCATGAATTCAACAACCTTGCTTCTATCCTAGAGCTTTTCTTTGCCCTGCTACCTCAGATTGGACCCGCTTCCATGCTGCACTTTGCAGGCAGTTCCTTGTTATTCGATCGCTCCTAAACTGTCCCTTCTCAAAGAGGCCTTCTCTGATCTAAAGAAGTCACCCAAGCTCTATGATATAAACTCACTTAAATCTTCTGCACAGCCTTTACCATACGCTGATGTACTTCTTGATTATAATCTAGTCTGGCTTAAATATAAGCACCATGGGCACATGAAGCTTATTGAAGTTATTTACCTCAATATTCTCTTACCCAAAATAGTGCCTGATACAAGGTAGGGTCACAGGAAACATTTGCTGCATGAATGAATCAGAGAGCAGTTTTACCTGTGCTCATAAAAATTATAATTATGTGATGAAGTGGGAAATGTGAATTCACCTGGACTTTTGAAATATGCTATTTTGAAGACATCAAAACCCCCTGGAAGTTTGCCGACAAAGCATTCAGATGGAGGCAGACGGAGATATACAGCAAACCTAGTTCCCACTATGAAAAATCCTATTTAACTGAAGAAAAGGCAAACGATTCCAATGTTTTGGAAAGATATTAAGTGTTTCTCAAATTTGAGAAGGGCTCTTTGTGCTCCACCTTTGAGCCAGGTGCCCTTTACCTTATAACACGACACCACTGATGAAATTGTGCAGTAAAGATGGAAAACACAACACCACTGATGAAATCCCCTGTGCAGTAAAGATGGAAAAATCCAGTGCCCGACCAGTGAATGCTGCTCCACCCGACAAGACAGCAGCAAAAGCGCGTGGCTACTCTTTCTGCCTTTTCCCTCCCATGCTCGCCCAACATGCATCACCGCACAGACCTTCAACGACAGTAAATTATTCATCCGGCATCTGACGTCTCTCTCCCAAAGAGACACATATTCAGAACTTCAGACATTCCATCTCTGATAAATCATTCATATCCTTTTATCCGCCACTTTTAAATGATTATAAAAATACCTGGTGGTAGTAAACTGTGGCTCTCATACATATTGAGAAACAGAAATGCAGTTACCTTTTACCAAAATTCCCTGAATTATTTAGAAAAATGGGAGTTACTCCAGGAAACTATAATCACCAATGTTGAAATTAGATAAGGGAAATAATGTTTTGAACAGGCACATTTAGAATGACCTCCAATTCAGAGTGTTAAACCATACACTAAATCCAGCAAATGGTTACAATTTAACATACTATATTAACTTCTTAGTTTTTCTATCTTAAAGGTGATGTTATTTTAAGTTTTGTTTTTCTAATGTACTACTTCAAGCTCTGAATAATTACACCCCCACCCGACATACATGGATACAGAAAAGCTCAGAAAATCTTGTATCTCATGGGGCTAATTAAAAAGGATTTTTATTTCTATAAGGAATGAATGAGATCTTTGTTAACCCACTTTAACAAGACTCTAAATGACCCTGGATTTATCTTGCCCTAGTTTTCAAAATGTAACTGACCCAGAATAAAGTAAGCTTATCCCCAAATTCCTGGCAAAAACAGAACCAAAGTTCCCAGAAGCCAAAACTGTATATAAAAGCTAAAAAAAAAAAAAATTTGAAAAACACTTTGCAGTGCAAATACCACAAAAGCTCTTATTTTATTTTTCATTTAATTAGAATATTTTTAAGATTATAAAGCTTGAGGCCAGGTGCGGTGACTCATGCCTGTAATCCCAGCACTTTGGGAGGCCAAGGCAGGCAGATCACCTGAGGTTGGGGGTTAGAGACCAGCCTGACCAACATGGAGAAACCCCGTCTCTACTAAAAATACAAAATTAGCTGGGTATGGTGGCTCATGCCTGTAATCCCAACTACTCGGGAGTCTGAGGCAGGAGAATCACTTGAACCTGGGAGGCAGAGGTTGCAGTGAGCCAAGATTGTGCCATTGCACTCCAGCCTGGGCAATAAGAGTGAAATTCCGTCTCAAAAAAAATAAATAAATAAAAAGATTATAAAGCTTAATATCAAAGCAAACAAACTTCCAAGAAAACACAGCAAAAGACAATATCAGTTACTATCACAGGAACTTTCTAGAAGCTTTTGTATTGTTATAGTAAAACACTGATAGCCAGTGAGGGACTATAGCTTGATTGCTTTCTCTGGTGTAATAAGCATCTAACCAGCCAAAGATAATTTGCTTTTATTTATCATAACTGAGTAATCTGAATTGGTTAGAGAAGCAAAAATATTACCTGCTAATACATGTCTTTTCTTACTCTTCATTAATCATTAACCTCAAAATCCCACACTGGGGACTTTACTACAAAAGGGTAGAAATTCCACCCAGAAGCCTTTATTAAAAAATTAATTAATTATTTATTTTAAAGACAGGGTCTCACTCTGTCATCCAGCCTAGAGCACAGTGGTACGATCATAGCTTACTGCAGGCTCAACTCTTGGGCTCAAGAGGTCCTCCCACCTCAGCCTCCCAAGCAGCTGGACGTACAGGGGAATGTTGCCATGCCCAGCTAATTTTTTTTTTATTTTTTGTGGAGCCAGAGGGGTCTCACTACATTGCCCAGGCTGGTCTCAAACTCCTGGGCTCAAGCAGTACTCCCATTTCAGCCTCCCAAAGTGCTGGGATTACAGGTGTGAGCCACTGCACCAGCCGAGAAGCTTTTATTAATAGTGTTCCTCTTCCTAAGACTTCACATGGCTTCATTCACTCACAGTTATAAGGTAGAACAGAGTCTTCTCTCATAAACAGAATACGAAAGCACTATTGAGCCCCTAAACATCATAGACACACTTCACTGCCTGAAGCCTAAAGAAATCATGTTTCCATCCTATCTGACAATTTTCATGAACATTCAAAAGTTCTTCTAATTTGGGGTACTTCATAGAACTTTTTTTAATATAGAAAATGGCCACTCACTCATAATAAAATTGTTTATTGAAAACCTAAAATATTCAGAAACTTGATTGGCAATAACAACTCAGGAATATCATATGTACCTACAACATACTTCGAGGAACTCCGAAAGATTATTGCAGGAAGTGATATCCAAAGATGAGAAGAAATTCAAGAGTAAGAACAGTAAGAAGACAACAATCTCCAGTGAAGTTCTGACCAAACTGTTTCATTTTTACAGTGAGAGGAATTTATAACTCACATTGCAAATAATGCTATATACAGTACGTTTTTTATTCTTCACCTCCATAAAAATGAAACATAAAAAGATATTCCAGACAACATTTTTGGTCATATTTTGGTTGAATTTGTACAATGGATACCACAATTAGAAACATAACCCTTTAAAGTTAAAGACTTCAACTCATCTCCTAAGAATGATTATATTTGCGGCCCAGGCTATTTTTTCACTTCCACATGACATCAACAAGCAAAAGCACATCTAGACTACATGCTTCTTGAAGGTGCCCAATTTATTTCTTTGTACTCCTAACACCTAGACCACTGTGCATGATTGGGGTTCACCATTTACAGAGTAAATGAATAAAATTAAACATTGCATCTCCATTACGATGTTTGTAACCTAACCCACTAAGCTTGGATAATTTTTAATGCTTCTAAAAATAATACAAAAACTGAAAGCCTCCCTTCAGATGGATACTCAGTATATAATAAATAAATTTAAATGGAGTAATAACCTAACTACAGAGACTCACGTTTCACTACTGAACCCTACGAAGTAAGGATACCTACCGAGAAGACACAGAGGGTTTTTTAATCTTTTAAAATATGTCATCTAGACAATAACAGCATTAAATAAAACATATGAGCCTTGTTTGAAATGACACAGTAACTGGGCTGAATGATTTTATAGAGGTTCGTGCAGATGGTTAAGCATTCATCAGCATCTTGGTAGGACTGCTTGCAAGTTAACTCCTGTGTGGTGGCAAAGGTAATAGAATCCACACTCATTCCTAGTTCAGTGCCTAATTAATGATAATATTCTGTATCTGGATGCTGTTTTTCTAGAGCATTGGCCTATGTTGTTTTTGAAAGCCAAGTAAATTGCTCCTGTTACAGAAATTCATATGTCCTTTATGACCAACAAGTTATACTTACTTGTTAAAAAATAACTTAAATCTAAAATAAAGTATCCAAAACAGTTCAAAATTGCCTACAGTTGCCATTTAAAATTTCTCAAGATGAGTCCACCTACACAGCCAATTTCGCTTGTTACTATGACTTTCAAATAGATCCTCCACCTGCATCATGCTTTTAATCTTTCTATACCTGAGAAGTTCTCAAGAGTTTCTTTGTAAAGTACCTTTTATCTATAAAAATTTATTTTAAGCACATTGATATAAATAATATTTAATGGCCTTCATATTTGATGCTATCTTGCCTCATAAAAACACACTAAATAGGCCAGGCACAGTGGCTCATGCCAGTAATCCCAGCACTTTGGAAGGCCAAGGTGGGAGGATCTATGGAGCCCAGGAGTTTTGAGACAAGCCTGGGCAACATGGCAAAACCCCATCTCTACTAAAAATGTAAAAAATAGCTTGGCGTGGTGGCACATGCCTGTAATCCCAGCTACTCAGGTGGCTAAGACACAAGAACTGCTTGAACCCAGGAGGTGGAGGCTGCAGTGGGCCAAGATCGCACCACTGCACTCCAGCCTGGGCAACTGAGCAAGACTTCTGTTTCAAAACAAAACAAAACAAAACACACTAAATAAAGTTAGTAATGTGGGCATTAAATATGCTACTACTATTTTCCCAAGCAGCTCAACTTCAAAACCTTGGAGCCTTTCTACCTTACCCATATTTACAGTTGCAAATTCCTAGTGTCTCCCACCTTAAAGATTTTCTTATCTGTCCATACTTTCACACTCACTGCTATAACCCAGGCCCAGGCAAACAGTACCCAACACCCAGATATTTGCTAATACTTCCTAATAGGTTTCTCCAACTACTTTCCACCCTTTTCCAGCCTTCCTGTACCTCAAAGCCAGATTAATCCCTTAAGGCACAACCCTGACATGTGACCATGTAACTGTCACTCTTAAGACACAATAGGTAGGCACTGCCTAAAAGCAAAAACCCCAAACCCTTGGGTTTCAATTCAACTCCATGAAGGATCTTAATCTCAGAAATACTTCGGAAGGGATTCCTACTTTGGTCTCAAATTACACTGAATTGCAAAGAAAATCCCATTTAACTTTAAAGTCCTGTGATACTTATCCAACATTACCCCTACTGCTTTCATAATCATATCTATCCAATACTTCAAAAAAGTGTTCCCTGGGCACACCTTTCCCACCCGAAGGGCTCAGCACAGATGTTGTTTCTGACAAAGTATGTGGTTATTATTTTTTTAGGATCAAATAAAAGGAAGCACCTATTACTTTGCCAAGGAAGAAATCCAAATGGAAAGAATTAAAGGAATTCTATAATGGGCATTTTGGTAAAGCAAATAATTTTTAAAGAAGCCATTTATGGCCAGGCACAGTGGCTCATGCCTGTAATCCCAGCACTCTGGGAGGCAAAGGTGGGAGGATAGCTCGAGGCCAGGAGTTCAAGACCAGCCTGGGCAAAATAGCAAGACTTCCCCCGTATATATTTTTTTAATTTTAAAAATTTAAAATTAAATTAAATTTAAAAAATTTTAAACAGCCATTTATTATCATTTTAATAGCCTGAATTTCCATATCGCAAAATCATTTAAAATATGGACTGCTGGCCAGGTGTTGTGGCTCACGCCTATAATCCCAGCACTTTGGGAGCCAAGGCAGGCAAATCACTTGAGGTCAGGAGTTAGAGACCAACCTGGCCAACATGGTGAAATCCCCTCTCTACTAAAAATACAAAAATTAGCCAGACGTGGTGGCAGGCACCTGTAATCCCAGCCACTCAGGAGGCTAAGGCAGGAGAATCACTTGAACTCTGGAGGCGGAGGTTGCAGTGAACCGAGGTCACACCACTGCACTCCAGCCCGGGTGACAGAGCAAGATTCTGTCTCAGAAAAAAAAAAAAGAAAGAAAGAAAAAGAAAAAGAAAAAAATACATATATATATGAATAAATAAAATGTGTACTGCCCAGAGTAATATAGAATGCACTAAACTAAAATGAATTCCAGTTTTATAGAAACCCACTCAAATTCATAAATACCATTCCTTTCTCTTCCTAACCATTCAAACAGTCCAACACCATCCTCTTCACTAAATGCAGAAAACATAAATATCTACCCATAAAGGGTACTCTCAGGGCCAGGTATGGTGGCTTACGCCTGTAATCCCAGCACTTTGGGAGGCTGAGGTAGGAGGATCACTTGAGTCCAGGAGTTCAAAACCAGCCTGGGTATCATAGCAAGACTCCCATCTCTACAAAAAATAAAAACGTTAGCCAGGCGCAGTGATGTGCACCTGTAGTACCAGCTACTTGGGAGGCCGAGGTGGGAAGATCACTTGAGCCCAGGAGTTTGAGGCTGCAGTGAGTCGTGTTCATGCCACTGCACTCCAGCCTGGGTGACAGAGCAAGACCCTCTCTCAAAAAAAAGAGGGAGGGTACCCTCAAATTGGCTTTACAAAGATATTTTCTCAAAGAGCACACAAAAAAATCAATGAAAAGAAAGATAAAGTCACTTGCTTATCGTCCTGCTCTATGAATTTCGGCAAAGCACTGCCTGATCTTCAGGGCTGATTCCTTTTAGGCCCTGTACATACGGGCTATATGCTTTCATAGCATATTAATGATGAAGCACTACATTTCAACTGAGACATTTTAATCTTTTCTTGCGTGTGTTATTCTGAGTCAGGGTGTTGCCACAATTGTCTCACCTTAGATTAAGTTTTTGCTAAAATAAAGCAGGCTTTATAAGTTAATTAGGCCATTCTACTGTCTCTATCTGCCTCTAAAAAAAGGTTCTGAAACAAAGAAAAATAAAAACTTTCTTATGAGCAGGGATCCTGAGCCTCTTATATTACATGAAATCTCTTTCTCATATTACCCCAGGGATCATTAAGCACATGTGAATTCTGTGAAATACGAGTCTGCTTGCTGTGTGTACAATGCCAAGTGCCTTTAAGACTACCACCAACAGCCTTTGGTTCAGTAGTACTTCATGCAGATAATATTGTCCATCTTTTTTTTTTCTCAAATAGCTAATAATCCTGCTATGAAAGCAAAGGTGCCTTTAGAAATATATACAAGTGTCTGCCTTCTTTTCTTCCTTCCTCCCTCCTTTCCTTCTTTCCTTCAACAACTTAGGCTGAAAGAATCATTACAAATTCACTGATAACAATATGGAGCTTAACTTTGGGAAATCTATTCATTTCGCCGTAAAGCCTTCATCTTATAGGTATGGGAACTTCTTGGTTGGTATCTCTTGAGGGTACCTGGCTAATGTGAACAGACTGCCCAGCGTCACCTTGACATTATAGTATTGGCTTTCTACCAGTCCCCCTAAGACAGCAGTGTGTCCAGCACCACGATTCCTCTAAATACATCATTAAAGGAAATCATTCAGACTGACCAGTGCACGTATATCACATTTACATTGCAAAACAGTCCATACTACTCTCCAATTGTAAAACAGATTGTATAACCTACGATAATTCAAAACATGCTATAAGAAACCACTCATTTCTCAGTAATTTGCTAATTATTTTGAGCTACTTATAAGCCTGAGATCACTAATATTACTTAAAGATGCCCTCCATATTCTGGATGTGAAAACTTGCTATGGATTGAATAGGTTAAGGCTAAGATTTAATGAATTTTCCAGTGAAAGTTGTTAAGGAAACTCCCTCTTTCAAACTGTTCTTTGAAGTGTAACAAAGAGGGTATGGTACAATACAAAGAAAACTGTCCTAGTCAAAACACAGCTCCACTGCTCACTAGCTGCGGGACTCTGGGCAAGTAATTCATTCTTTCTGAGCTGCAGCCTCTTTCTCAATTGTCAAAGATTTTTTTTAAATCTACTTCATCATGTGGTTGTGAGGATCAAATGAGATAATGTATGCAAAAGTGCTACATAAGTTACAGCATGCTACATAAAAGTCAAAATGTCCCCTGCTGTGGGGAAGAAAATATTACTTGATATGTATAATAATAATAATACTACCAAGTGCTCAAAGAGATACTACGGGAGAACAGAGGAGGGAGCACGTTATCTCAGCCTAAGAGAGAGCAGAGCTCACAGGAAACTGATTCTAATCGTCCTGGGGATGGATAAAGGATGTATGAAGGATGGATGAGAGGATGACTTCTGCTGCTGGAGGAGGGGCCGGGGGAGCTACAAGGGAAACAATCTGAATGAAAGCACACAGGCTGGCGGACCAGGGAGAATATGGCCCCTTAAGGAACCATGGGGTTGGAGCACAGAGTGCTTATGGGGCATGGTGGGAGATAAGAGCAGAGAGAAAGGCAAGCACTGGACCAGTAAAAGCCTGAACCACGCCAAGAAGTCTGGACTTCATCCCACATGTGATAGGGAGCCATTGAACAGAAATGTTAAAACAAAACAAACAAAAGAAAAAGCAGAAAAAAACCAGACATCTGGTTTACAATTTTTTCCTATAGATCATGAAGTTTCTACTCCAGCCATGTGCTCTTGGACAAGAAATACTTTGAGAGTAAGATTTTGGCCATAAACCTAGAAAAAGAAAGTGTGATGTACATACTGAGTCCCTAGTCTGTGTTAGGCACTGTGCTAAGCCCCTTTGTCTCCCTTACTGTTCATCTTCAAAATGCAGCTGCAGTGTGGGAACTCTGATTCACATTTTACAAATAAGGAAACTGAGACTCAAAAGATGAAATCTCTCCTCCAAGTTCAAAGAATCAGTGACTGGCAGAGCCAGCATTACAAATCTGATTTACCTACTTATTGCAGCCAAAACGTTACATGCAACCAAAACATCATAGAAAAACAATAATTTTTTTCCAGTTAAATGAAAGCTTGATTCCATCTACATCTGAATATTCAGACATTATTTTTAAGTCCTTACTGAAAATTTTAAAAATTCTTACCTCAAGTATAACCTCTCAACAATTTAAATGTTTCTTACTCTACACAAAGTATACAATAATTACTTTGAAAAGGCTGATATATACAGATACTGTCTATTCTAACAGCTATTGATTTCCATCTCAGCTCAAAATATAGAAGCAAATCATTCAAAACAGATTTTATTTTGCCAAATCACTCAATATGGCATCAAAACAGATCTTTAATTTAAAGGAAAATATCAGAAAAAAAGTAATTTTGGCATCTTTACCATAAATGACTCAGAATCTATGACTTTGAGTAACATTCTAAAAATGCTGCATAATACTGCCCATAATCTTAAAGTTACTTTAAAACACATAGTTCCATAAATATTTTCAAAGGCCTGCTATAGCCTTATTTCTTTTATACTAGCTTACTTTACTCAACTCCAAAATTTGCTTTATCAACAAAGGTAGAAGGTCTAGTGGCTAGTGAATTTTCAAAATACAACAAAAATATTGCCAAACTCCACAAGAAGCACTTTTAAAAAAATGACAGCACTTATATACATGCACACATGATTCACATGACTGAAAGGTCATTCATTTATAATATTACCTCTCTTCCTATCAGGACAAAATAAGGATGTGCATTCATTCATTCATTTATTTGAGATGGAGTTTCGCTCTTGTTGCCCAGGCTGGAATGCAATGGCACAATCTCAGCTCACTGCAACCTCCGCCTCCCGGGTTCAAACAATTCTCCTGCTTCAGCCTCCCAAGTAGCTGGGATTACAGACATGTGCCACAACACCTGGCTAATTTTGTATTTTTAGTAGAGACAGGGTTTCCCCATGTTGGTCAGGCTGGTCTCGAACTCCTGACCTTGGGTGATCCGCCCGCCTCGGCCTCCCATAGTGCTGGGATTACAGGCATGAGCCACCGTGCCTGGCAAGGATGTGCATTTAAAAGAAGCTACACAAAAAGATAAGAAGTAAAAACAATGCCAAGCAAACTACAGTTTACTATTTAATTTTCACTGCAAATAAAATGCATACACTCAGTAAGAAACTGGAGATAGCAAATTCCTTGCAGGTATTCCTTACTTTCCCAGAGAGCTAAGGCAGAAATAAAGACATTTAAATATATTAAAAGGTTTCTACAGTTGGAAAAATACAGATATATTTATCTCCATAAGAGAGACGAAAATCAGTGTGACTTGCAACTAGATAAAAGTAAGGTTTCCCCAGTTTCTGTGGGTGTTACCCCCACCCAATCTTAATTACCTTGCAATGAAATATGGAGATCGTCGATGCCCCAGGAACCCTGTTCATCTTCGGTGGGAAGCTCAGGACTAGATGCCATTCTTTGACTCAATGGAGATTATATCATGTCCATCTCAGTTGAAGAAGTGAACTGAAAGTGAAATGGATAAATGTTCATTAGTAACTTTGCAGCTCTGTTTCTAGTAAACATGCATTGCCAGAAAACAGCAGCAACCAAAAACTGTCCTCCAAAACAAGTATGGCTTTCTACTATGTGCTTCCATGGTTCATGAAGAACAAAGTAACTATGCCTTCTTTTTGAATCATAATCAAGATTTTGCCCTATGACTTATTCATGCCCTTTGGAGCTGCTTTCAGAACTCCAGAAGAACTAGCATTGTGGATTCTATACCAGTGGTGAAAAGGAAGGCCAGGCAATTCGATGTAATAACTTGTCTAGAGGAAGGAAAGTTGACACAAACTGATATCTTAGGCATTAGTGTTATGTGATTGTTAGCCTTCAACCTTCAAGGATTTTCTTTAAAACTTTTTTTGAACTTAGTTCCTTTTCTGCCCCAGTTATGTTGCCATTTACTGGAAACAATAAGAGCTGAGCCTGCATAGCTTGCAAAGTGAAACTAAAAATCTAATATATCAAAAAGAATATTTTAATGAGTTATCTAATATATTGAATTATTTTCCCAAAGGCTTATTTTTTCACCTACACATTTCTTCCCCTCGCCCCACCTTGATTCTTAAAGAATCCTTCCAGTGAGAGCAGTTTTTACTTCATACCTCTTTAAAAGCATTGCTTCATGTATTTATTTACCACTATTAGTTTCTGGAGGATAAGTATAAAACACCGACTTCTCCCATATGGATGATCAAATAATAAACCTAACCAAGCATATAAAAATATAAAGTAGATTGGGGGTGTACATAGGGATGGATAATTGTACAGCTTTGTGATCAAGCAAGCATTGCAAAATATTAATGTTAGAATCTATGTGTTGACCCTATAGGTATTCACTTTTAAATTCCTTTAACTTTGCTGTATACTAGAAATTTTGCATAATAAAATGCTGGGGGAGGGGGCGGCGTGGAACTAAAAGATAAGTATGAGGCCAACAGCTAGATACGGTCAATCATATTAAATATTAAACAGAACACTTCAAAAAATACAAAGAATAAGAATCATTAAACAGTCCCTGCTAGTTCAAAAATCTTTCAATCCTGCCTGCCCCCTCTGTTTATCATCCATATCCCTTTTATTAGCTCTTGCATGGATCACTGTTGTTAAAGATTTCAGCTACCAAATTAACTTGACTAATTAATGATTAATTTGTTTATCCTCCAAATTAAGATGAATCACAACCAGCCTGAGGTAAAAGAGTTGCTATATGGAATTGAGAGATTCTAACCAAAAAGAAAGGCTGTTTATTAGTTCACCATGAGCCTTGGCAGCCTGATGAGTGACAAAGATACAAACATCCTCAGCTTTGCGATATACTGAGGACCTCCACCACCCCTTCCCATACTCTGGGGCTCCTGAACCCAAAGTGGAGATAAAGCACTTCTTCATTTTGGCACCCTAAGATTTGAATTCCAGAATGAATTTTCTAAGGGCACACACTATTCCATGTCATCGCTATTTAAAAAAAAAAAGGATAATAGCAATATTATACAGTACTTACTGTATACAGGCACTGTTACAAGCACTTTGTATATACAACCTCATTTAATCTTTATAACAATGGTAAGAGTTAGGAACTACAGTTATCTCCACATTTGAAAAGACAAAGCTTAGATGCACCAGTATGATTCACAATTGTCTAAGGACACACAGGTAATAAATGATGGAGCCAAGACTTGAATCCAGGTGGTTTGGGCTTCAGAGTTCATGCTCTAAACCAACACATGATGGTGTCTCCTAAGGTGAGTGAGAGTTTGCCATATGTCATTTATTTTTGTTTTCATTCATTTGCACAACAAATAATTATATAAGCTGGATGCCACTCTCAAGAGATTCAATCCTCTGAGAATGATAAATGAACAGAATATTAAGCAAAATCCTCTAATAAGTACAGAAGGTACTCTGAGAGCAAAGGAGACTGCATGCCCCATCACTTAAAGCTGGAGATGGATGTGACTGTCAGGAGCTGCAGTGGACTGAGTTCTTACGTCCCCCAAAGTCCATATGTTGAAATCTAATCCCCAATGTCACGGTATTAGGAGGTGGGGCCTTTGGGAGGTGATCCTCATTAATGGGATTAGTCCCCTTATAAAAGAGGCCCAAGAGAGACTCCTTACCCGTTCTACCATGTGAGGATAGACTGAGAGGATGGCCATCTATGAGGAAACAGGCCCTCATCAGACATTGAATCTTCTGGACTTGATCTTGGATTAGATTTCTGTCATTTACAAACTACCCATTTTATGGTATTTTGTTATAGCAACTCAACAAGACAAGAGTGTACTTTTTACAAAATAGCATTTCATGCAAAATAGTCCTATTAGAATTAGCATTATTTGGACAGTACCTTGAATTTGGTAAGAATGTCTCTGAGAAGATCCAAATCAGTATAATCAGAAATGACAAAGATATTACAGCTGATCCCTCAGAAATACAAAAGATCCACTACAACAACTCTATGCACACAACTTAGAAAATCTAGAGGAAATGGATAAATTCCTGGAAACACAATTTCCCAAGATTGAATTGGGAAGAGATTGAAATCTTGAGTAGACCAATATCAAACTCCGAAGTTGAACCAATAATAATTTTTTTTAAAACCTACCAACCAAAAAAAGCTCTGGACCAGATGGATTCACAGCTGAATTCTACCAGAAGTGTAAAGAGGAACTGGTACAAATCCTACTGAAACAATTCCAAAAAATCAAGGAGGAGGGACTCCTCCCTAACTCATACTATGAAGCCAGCATCAGCCTAATACCAAAATTTGGCAAAGACACAACTAAAAAAGAAAACTTCAGGCCAATATCCCTGATGAACATAGATGCAAAAATTCTCAACAAAATACTAGCAAACTGAATCCAGCAGCACATAAAAAAGTTAATTCATCACGATCAATTAGGCTTTATTCCTGGGATGCAAGGTTGGTTCTAACATATGCAAATCAATAAATGTGATTCACCACATAAACAGAATTAAAAGCAAAAACCATATGTCATCTCAATAGACACAGAAAAACTTTTTATATAATCCAACATTTCCCTTTATGATTTAAAAAAACCCTCAACAGACTAGGCATTGAAGGAACATACCTCAAAATAATAAGAGCCATCTATGAAAAAACCCACAGCCAACATCATATTCAACGGGCAAAAGCTGGAACAATTCCCCCTGAGAGTCAGAACAAGACAAGGATGTCCACTCTCACCACTCCTATTCAACATAGCACTGGAAGCCCCCGCCAGAGCAATCAGGCAAGAGAAAGAAATAAAAGGCATCCAAATAGGAAAAGAAGAGGTCAAACAATCTCTCTTTGCTGATGATATGATTCTATACCTAGAAAACCCTAAAGACTCTGCCAAAAGGCTACTAGAACTGATATGTGATTTTAGAAGGGTTTCAGGATGTAAAATCAATGTACAAAAATTAGTAACATTTCTATACACCAGTAACATCCAGGCTGAGAGTCAAGAACATAATCCCGTTTACAATAGCCACAAAGATGATGAAATATCTAGGAACACAGCTAACCAAAGAGGTGAAAGATCTCAAGGAGAATTATAAAACACTGCTGAAAGAAATCAGAGATGAGACAAATAAAGGGAAAAACGTTCCATGCCCATGGATTAGGAGCATCAATATCATTGAAATGACCATACTATCAAAGCAATTTACAAATTCAATGCCATTGCTATCAAACTATGAACATTCTTCACAGAATTAGAAAAAACAACTCTAAAATTCATATAAAACCAAAAAAGAGCCCAAATAGTCAAAGCAATCCTAAGAAAAAAGAACAAAGCCAGAGCCATCACACTACCCAATTTCAAAATATACTCTATGGCTACAGTAACCAAAACAGTATGGTACTGATACAAAAACAGACACAAAGACCAATAGAACAAAATAGAAAACTCAGAAATAAAGCTGCACATTTCCAACCATCTGATATTAACAAGACTGACAAAAGTAAGCAATGGGGAAATGACTCCCTATTCAATAAATGATGCTGGGATAACTGTATAGCCATATGCTGAAGAATGAAACTGAATCCTTCCTTATCTTTCACCATAAACAAAAATTAACTCAACATAGATAAAAGATTTAAATGTAAGACCTCAAACTATAAAAATCCTGGAAGAAAACCTAGGAAATACCCTTCTCAACATAAGCCGTGACAAAGAACTTTTGGCTAAGTCTCCAAAAGCAAAAGCAACAAAAAACAAAAATTGACAAATGGGATCTAATTAAAGAGTTCCTGCGCAGCAAAAGAAACTATCAACAAAGTAAACAACCTACAGAATGGAAGAAAACATTTGCAAACTATGCACTGACAAAGGCCTAATATTCAGAATCTATAAGGATCTTAAAGAAATCAACAAGCAAAAGACAACCCCATTAAAAAATGGGCAAAGGACATGAATAGACACTTCTTAAAAGGAGACTTAGAAGTGGCCAACTAACATGAAAAAATGCTTATCATCACTAATTATCAGAGAAATACAAATCAAAACCACCAAGATACACCATCTCACACCAGTCAGAATGGCTACTACTAAAAGTCAAAAAACAGCAGATGCTGGTGAGGCTGCAGAGAAAAGAGCGCTTATAAACTGTCAGTGGGAAAGTAAATTAGTGCAGCCACTGTGGAAAGCAGTTTGCAGATGTCTCAAAGAACTTAAAACAGAGTTAACATTCAACCCAGCAATCCTATTACTGCATATATACCCAAAGGAAAACAGATCATGCTACCAAAAAGACACATGCACTCATAAGTTTATTGCCAGGTTACTCACAATAACAAAGACATGGATTCAGCCTGGGTTCCCATCAACAGTGGATTTGATAAAGAAAAGGTAGTGCATACACACCATGGAATACTACAAGCCATAAAAAAGAATAAAATCATAGCCTTTGCAGCAACATGGATGGAGCTGGAGGCCATAATCCTAAGCGAATTAACACAGGAACAGAAAACCAATAATATATGTTTTCACTTAAAAGTGGGAGCTAAACATTGAGAACACATAGACATAAACATGGGAACAAAAGACACTGCAGACTTCCAGAGGGGTGAAGGGAGGGAAGGGAGCATGGGTTGAAAAACAACCTATTGGGTACTATGCTCACCACCTGGTTACAATATACCCATGTTACAAACCTGCACATGTGCCCTCTGTATCTAAAATAAAAGTTGAAATTTAAAAAAATATATAGAATGTCTCTGAAATTAAAAAAAAAAAAGAATGGCCATTTCATTGAATATTAATCAAATATAAGGTATCAAATGTAGGGGAAAGAATCATTTGTTGTATTTACATTAAAAATAAAAACAAAACAATAAAGACAAGTTGTTAACTGGAGAACCAAGAAGTATTCCTGTCCTCAACCGGCATGTGGAATTCACTGTATTGTATATTAAAGATGTAGGAAAAGACCAGGCACATGCCTATAGTCCTAGCTACCCAGGAGTCTGAGGTGGGAGGATTGTTCAAACCCAGAAGTTTGAGGCAAGCCTGGGCAACATAGACAGACTACCTCTAAAAAGTAAATAAATAAAAATAAATAAATAACAAAGGTGTCAGAAAAAAATTAGATAACATAGCACCCAAAAAAAACCAATTAAGACCTTAAAATAGCTGGATGTCTAAGAAGTTTCTGTTTTTAACCATGAAAATTTATTATCAAACAAGGCAAAAGATATATTCATAATTTTTTACTTCCTTGACAATTTCTTAGAGCTTCTAGAAATGTCTATCAAAAGTAAAACCAAACTTTGAAGACTGAATCAATTCGAAGTGTTAGATTATTAACCCAAATACTGTCATAGCACAATTATTTGTCAAAACATGCTACAGAGGCCATGAGGATATAATTGAAGAGACTTATTGATGACATTTCCAACACAATTGTTTTTGGTGAGAAACTGCTGACATTTCTAGGGAGGAATTTACTTACCAAATAGGACCCATGAAAAACTGGAACAGAGTAGAAAAGAAAAGTTCCAAGGAACTTCTCAGGATTTGAATTCAGAAGCTAGAAAGGCTTTGAAAAAGGAAGGCAGAAGAAAGAGTCAAAGGCCAGGTGCAGTGGCTCATACCTGTAATCCCAGCACTTAGGAAGCCAGAGGCAGGAGGACTGCTTGAGACCAGGACTTCGAAACCAGCCTTCATCTCAACAAAAAAATCAAAAAAATTAGCTGGGCATAGTGGCATACACCTGTAGTCCTAGCTACTCCAGAGGCTGAGGTTCCCACCTCACTTGAGGCCAGGAGGTCAAGGCTGCAGTGAGTCGTGTTCATGCCGCTGCACTCCAGCCTGGGTGACAAAGCAAGACCTTGTCTCCAAAAAAAAAAGAAAAAAACAAAAAGGAAAGAAAGAGGAGTGAGGGCTAAGGGCTAGATTTAGCTAAGGGCTAGATTGAGTCTCCCGGGTCTCTAGCAACCGAAATCTATCACTGTGTTTTGACTCCTCTAAGGAGAACACAGCGGCTGTGCCCAGGTAAATTCCAGCCCAGAAGAGCTTTCCTGGGTACTCCTTCTGGCCTTACTTTTTCTTTTCAAATAAAAGTTACCACAATTATGTAACAAAGCCAGGGTTTAGTACTAAAATAAATAAAACTATTCTTTTTTTTTTTTTTTTTTTTTTTGAGGAGTCTCGTTCTGTCACCCAGGCTGGAGTGCAGTGGTGCAATCTCGGCTCACTGCAACCTCTGCTTCCCGGGTTCCAGTGATTCTTGTGCCTCAGCCTCCCTAGTAGCTGGGATTACAGGCACGTACCACCACACACGGCTAATTTTTGTACTTTTAGTAGAGATGGAGTTTTGCCATGTTGGCCAGGCTGGTCTTGAACTCCTGACCTCAGATAATCAGCCCGCCTCAGCCACCCAAAGTGCTGGGATTACAGGCATGAGCCACCACGCCTGACCTTAAATGAAACTACTCTTAAAAGTGAATAAAATCTTCAGAAACATAACCAAAGGTTGGGTGAAGAATGTAGTGGCATTAAAGCTTCTAAAATGAAGTGGAATAATGTGGGATTGTTTTTAAAATACATGTAAATTAATATACATGCTTTTACCAATGACATAAGCTATTTGGGGGTTTTGGTTTTGTTTGGTTTGTTGTTGTTGAAGACAAGTTTTCATTCTGTCACCCAGGCTGGAGTACAGTGGTGCTATCATGGCTCACTGAAACCTCAACTTCCCTGGGCTCAAGTCATCCTCCCACCTCGTCCTCCCAAGTAGCTAGAACTACAGGCACACGCCACCACGCTTGGCTAATTTTTAAATTTTCTGTAGAGGCAGGGTCTCCCTATATTCCCCATGCTGGTCTCAAACTCCTGAACTGAAGCCATCCTCCTGCCTCACCTCCCAAAGTCCTGGGATTACAGATGTGAGCAATTGCAGCCAGCTGACAAACTATTTTGAAATGACTGTGGTTTGCTTATGCAATAATCCTGTGGTGTCAATTAAAACCTCAAAACACTAGTGAGTTTCCCTTTTTTAAAGAAATCTTGGCATTTACTCTGGTTTTTTTCAACTAAAAGATGAAATTTTAATAGAGAGTATCCGAAATGAAAGGGATTATGGGTGATTTTTATTTTCTTTTTATCTGCGTTTTTAAAATTTTAAATGACAGATGCATATTTCTACTGAAATAACAATTTGGCTTTTATTTTAATGAAATGACAGCAAAATGAGAATAAGGTATTATTAGTTCAGGTTCAGTTCTTCATTCCATATTCAATAGAACCTGTACATCTATGTCTTCATAACAAGGAGAAAAATACTCTCTTGACAAAAATGAAATATTTTTTAAATTCTCTGAGTGTGTCAGAAATTTCTAAAAACTACTCCCAAAGTCTTTTTGGTAGCTCAACAGCTTTCCGTTTTCTCATTAGTAGACAGTTTGTTAACAAGCCCTGCCAGTCTAACTGAAAAACCACTCTGTCAATGGTGAGGAAGAAGCATCTGTCCTATCTTTAAAGGTTGACCAGAAGGTATATCATAACAGATGTAGCATTCACGTTATTTCTTTAACAGAGTGATTTTAAAGCCAGCATTTTCCCTGGGGTGTCTCTCCTGTTCTTTTTCCATTCTTCAGCTGTACTCTGTTATTTATAGTCCACCTAGGAATGTGGAAGGATCTTCTCCTTTATCAGTTAAATTGTAGAGCTATTCCTAGCAATTGACAGTCCACTTACAAGCTCACAGCAGAAAGTTGGTGAAACACTGCAATAAATTTGTTCATCTTTTTCCCATTAACTTTTCCCCTTATTATTTATCCTGTAATCATCATTTGACTAGAAGCAACTGGTGCATATTTCCAGGTCAGGTGATTTGTAAGATCCACTCTATTCCCTCCTCCTGGGCACTTTATTCTTCTAATGACACCACACAAATGCCAGAACAACCAATCCTATGATATGGTCTGGCTGTGTCCCCACCCAAATCTCATCCTGAATTTTAACTCCCACAATTCCCACGTGTCATGGGAGGAACCTAGTGGGGGGTGATTGAATTATGGCGGTGGGTCTTTCCTGCACTGTTCTCATGATTGTGAATGAGTCTCATGAGATCTGATGGTTACTATTGGGGGAGTTTTCCTGCACAAGCTCTCTTTTTGCCTGCTGCCATCCATGTAAGTCGTGACTTGCTCCTCCTTCCCTTCCATCATGATTGTGAGGCCTCCCCAGCCATGTGGAAGTTTAAGTTCATTAAACCTCTTTTTCTTCCCAGTCTCAAGTATGTCTTTATCAGCAGCGTGAAAACAAACTAATACACCTATCTATGCATTACACTTTTGGAAAACAAAAATGTAGCAATTCTCAAATCATGATGCCACTGGGCTTGCAATCTCACAACAAAGCAGTGTCACCAACCAATACCAACTGTGGTGAGAAACCACCCACTTAACCCATGATCAGAACATCCTGAGGAAATGTAGCCACTTCCCTAAAAGAGCCTTCCGCTGGCCCTGACCTAGTCCCAGATGCTCTGAACTTCAGTATCCACTGCTGTAGAATGGGAATAATACTTCTTGTTTAAGGTGGTTGCTGGAATTCAAGGAAAACACTCATGAAACTAAAAATGACAACAATTAACATTTATTAAATACTATTAAGAAATATACTACACAGTATATAAATGGTATTTATTATAATCTGTGAAATACATTTATAGGGATTATCCTATTTCTTAATCAGCAGTAAAAATTAAAAGCTAGTCACCATACTAGAACAAAGAGTGAAAACACTCAGGCACAGTGGCTCACGCCTGTAATCCCAGCACTGTGGGAAGCCAAGGCAAGAGGATCACTTGAGACCAGGTGTTCTAGACCAGCCTAGGCAACATGGTAAAACCCCATCTTTACAAAAAATACAAAAATTAGCTAGGCATGGTGGTGTGTGCCTGTAGTCCCAGCTACTTGGGAGGCTGAGGCAGGAGGATCACCCGAGCCCAGGAGGTCAAGGCTGCAATAAGCCATGATTGCGCCACGGCACTCCAGCCTGGGTGACAGAGCAAGACCCTGTCTCAAAAAAACTAACAAACAGGGCCAGGCACAGTGACTCATGCCTGTAATCCCAGCACTTTGGGAGGCCAAGGCAGGTGGATCACCTGAGGTCAGGAGTTCAAGACCAGCCTGGCCAACAAGGTGAAACCCTGTCTCTACTAAAAATACAAAAATTAGCTGGGTGTGGTGGCAGGCGCCTATAGTCCCAGCTACTTGGGAGGTTGAGACAGAAGAATTGCTTGAACCCAGGAGGCGGAGGTTGCAGTAAGCTGAGATCGTGACACTGCACTCCACTTACACACACGGAGCAAGACACCATCTCAAAAAAAAAAAACTTAAGGATGAAAACTTCCAAAGCTAAAAAACCTGACATTCACAAATGTGAAATCAACACATAATCAGAAAATTTTCCACAAATGCTGTCTGATTCCACTTACATAAGGTACCTACAGTCATCAAACTTTATAGAGACAGACAGTAGAATGGTGCTGCCAGGGAATGGAGAGTTAACTATTTTAATTAACTTTTAATTGTTTAATGAATATATAGTTTCAGTTTCACAAAATGAAAAGAGTTCTGGAAATGGATGGTGGTGATGGTTACACAACAATGTGAATCCACCAGCAGCAATTAATACCACTTAAAAATGGTTAGGATGATAAACTTTATGTTATATGTATATTGAACAAAGTTTTAAAAGAAAACTTTTCAACCTATAATTTATATCCAGCTAAAGTACGAATCAAGTGTTAGGGTAGAAAAAAGTAATTTCCTCACACACAAAGCTCAAAAAAAATGTATGTCCTAAACACTTGTTCTTAGAAAGCTACTGGTGAGGGCCAGGTGCAGTGATTCATGCCTGTAATCTCAGCACTCTGGGAGGCCAAGGTGGGCGAATCGCTTGAGGCCAGGAGTTCGAGACCAGCCTGGGCAACTAGCAAAACCCCGTCTCTACAAAAAAAAACAAAAATTAACCAGGTGCGGTGGCATGCGCCTGTAGTCCCAGCTACTCGGGTGGCTGTGGCGGGTGGATCGCTTGAGCCAGGGAGGCAGAGACTGCAGTGGGCCAAGATGGCAACACAGCACTCCAGCCTGGGCAATGGCGAAACTCTGTCTCAAAAAAAAATAAAACTATACCAACAAAATAAGGTAAAACAAGATGAACGAAAGTATGCCAACAAAATAGAACACTAAACTAAAAGTGAGAAAAACAGGGACTGGGCATTGAATACAGAAGAAATAAAGGGACGTTCCCAGGACGATAGTGATGCAGCAGATTGAGGCAGGAAAAGGGAGGGCTCTGAGAGGGAGGTTTGGGGTGCAAGCTGTGGGGAAGATTACATGGGAAGGAGGGATGTGACTACAGGCAGGAGTGAACCCATGAAATGAGAGAGTGTACAGACTGCTGTCTCAGTGAGGCTGAAGAATGATTACGGTTTGCATACATTAGGAAATACACTAGAAGAGCTGGCGGCTGTGTTCAGAGAGATTTCAATGAGTGGCTTTGAACATAAAGCAGCTCATGATAAGACAAAGTTCCAATTTGGGATCTCAGAAACTTTTTTAAAAAATGTATTCCTCCATGCATTCCATGAAGAATTTGTGGTTTGCAAAACATGCTCGCTGTTCCTCTGGGTAGGAATGCTGAGAAATTTTGAAGTAGAGAAGAATGAACGGAGCTCTCATCATCTGACTTCATTTTTCTCAGGAAAATAAGAGCTGAGGTCATCTCCTGGGAGCAGGAGCAGGGGGAGCATGGGTGGTGTGGGGTCCTTGAGGAATAAACAATGCTTGGAACAGGCCAGTTAAGAACACAAACCAACCAACCAAAGAAGCATACAAGGATTGTGAGGGCAGCTGAAGGCCCACTGAGGCCAGAACAGCACCGGCTGCGAATGAACCCAAATGGCATGCTGGGTCCAAGGTTGGCCCAGGAGGGCTCAGCAAAGATGTTCTCACATCTGCCTGATGCTCATTTCTGCCAACTAAAAAATCCTGTAAAAGTGCATGTATACACAAGGAGACACATTCAAGAATAATCAGGGTAGAACTGTTTGTAAGGAAAAAAGTGGAAATAATCTAATACTGTCAGCAGAGAAACAGATAAACTGTCGCTGATTCATGCAGAAGTGAAGACTATTCACAGCTAAAATGAATGAACAGCCAATATCAGCATGGATAGATATCAGAACTACAAAGGTGGGGAAACGAGCCAGCACAAAGGATAGACATGCTATGAAGTCATATGTCCTTTATGTAAATTTATTTATTTATTTATTTATTTATTTAGAGATAGGGTCTCACTCTGTCGCCCAGGCTGGAGTGCAGTGGCACAAGCTCAGCTCACTGCAATCTCCACCTCCCGGGTTCAAGCAATTCTCCTGCCTCAGCCTCCCAAGTAGCTGAAATTACAGGTATGCACCACCATGCCTGGCTAAATTTTGTATTTTTTGGTAGAGACAAGGTTTCACCATGTTGGCCAGGCTGGTCTCAAACTCCTGATGACAGGTGATCTGCCTGCCTTGGCCTCCCAAAGTGCTGGAATTACAGGTGTGAGCCACTGCGCCAGGCCATTTATATACATTTTAAACACACGCATGAACACATATACAGTAAAAGAACAAAAACATGCTAAGGCAGGATACCCACCACTTCACAGAGTGGAGGGCAAAGGACTGGGAGGACAGACTTCAGCTATATAGTTTACTTAGTTAAACATCTAAGTAGGGAGTCCATTATCAATGTTTAAAATAGTCATTATTAACTCTTTAAAATTTTAACAGAATTCTATGTAAGTTAGAGAAATGAGAGGAAATGGCTGAAAGAGCACTAGACTTAGAGTCAGGAGAACTCGGCTGTAGTCCCAGCTTCTCCACTGACCACTCGGCCTTGGGCAATCATCAGCTTCTCCAAGGTCCTGTTTCTTCATCTGTTAAATGAGGGTAATGATTTTGTCCAGGCCAACATTCAGACTTTCAGATTCCTGCCAAGGAATCTAACCCAAAGTTCTCCGCCACGCATTTACAAACACTGGATTACAAGAAACAATATTCATAGAGGAATGCCTGAAACAGAGTCCACCCATTCCTGGATGTTGTCTTTGGATCCTGTCCAGCTGCCAGGGAGCCATGAACCTGAACTGCATTGTTCTACCCCTTCAGAGAACTGCTTTTATTAAAATGTATTTCAGTGTGATCCCACAAGCCTTACTATGCAGGATATGATAGGAAAAAGTCAAGAGAAACCTACCATTGTACTCTTTCTACAGGAGTTCGGGAGTACACAGCCCATAAACCAGTGTTCCTTTTATGAGAACATGCTATGGAAAATTCTCTCAGGTCTCAGTACCAAGAAAAACTGTGATCCTAGGCATCTATTCTTTTAATTTAATGAACATGTTATTTTTATAAACAAGGTTTCCCTCCCTTTTTTGGCTGCTACAGCCGATCTCTAGCAACTACAAATGACTTTATAGAAAATAAGTTGCTTTACCACTGTCTACATCCACCTATCCCTATTTTTCCTTCATTCCAATGTCCTCATCTATTTTTTCTTCTATAGAATTTTATGTTTCTCTATAAAGTGCTTCAAACTTTTCCCTGGAATAAGAGAGGATATAAATAAATTAAGTCACAGACTTTCTGTAAGGACAAGATGATTATCTCATTTAGTATGTAGCATGTTGAAATTACAAAATTGTAATGAAATTTTGTAATGAAATTACAAAAATGTAAATTTTTTCTAGGTTTTTTTTTTTTTTTTTTTTGGAGATTTGGAGACAGGGTCTCACTCTGTCACCCAGGCTGGAGTACAGTGCACAATTTCAACTCACTGCCACCTTTGCCTCCTGGACTCAAGCCATCCTCCCACCTCAGCCTCTTGAGTACCTGGGACAATAGGCACACACCACCTGCCCAGCTAATTTCTGAATTTTTTTTTTTTTTTTTTTTTGATAGAGACAGGATCTTGCCATGTTGCCCAGGCTGGTCTCAAACTCCCAGGCTTAAGTGACCCATGCACTTTGGCCTCCAAAGTGCTAGGATTACAGGTGTGAACCACCCTTCCTGGGCCACAAATGTAAATTGTTATTCATTGGTGAGAAAGAAAAAATTGGTAGTAGAAAATGGAAATTTGGCCAGGTGCAGTGGCTCACGCCTGTAATCCCAGCACTTTGGGAGGCCAAGGCAGGCAGATCACAAGGTCAGGAGTTCAAGACCAGCCTGGCCAATATGGTGAAACCCTGTCTCTACTAAAAATAAAAAAAAAAAAATTAGCCAGGGGTGGTGGCGGGCGCCTGTAGTCCCAGCTACTCTGGAGGCTGAGGCAGGAGAATCACTTGAACCCAGGAGGCGGAGGTTGCAGTGAGCCAAGATCATGCCACTGCACACCACCTAGGCAACAGAGAGAGACTTCATCTCAAAAAAAAAAAAAAGAAAAGAAAATGGAAATTTATGTGCTTTCAATAAATGAGATTATCTTAATATTTCTCAATGCCATATCACTTGAAGACAGCTAGATCCCAGCTGTAAGCTCTAGGAAGAGGCCTAATTTGTAGACAACATGCTAAAGCATCCCTACGGAAAACACAGGAATGACTTTGTGACCTACTATCATTTCTGCCAGATTTATGTCCCATCACTCTTGAACTAAACGTGTATCACCAATAGCCGGAGTCCCATAGAAAGCCTGAATCAACAGAGTCTTGCCTACAAGCAACAGATTAACAATGTTTCTAGGGTAGTATGGAACAGAGTAATGGAGAGAGAGAACGTAGTGAGGGCCATAATGAATTATTATTCATAATAAAAATATATTCCTAAGGACACTTTACATCAAAGAATATATTTGTAATGATTATACTCCTGGTGAATATACTTATTCTGCCTTCCCTCCATTCCCTCATTCTGCCCCTCAATCTCCTCTCTGGGAGAACAGCAGTCCAGGCTCTGCAGTGTATTTTTATCTACCTCTGCCCCAGCACACTCCCGTTCCAGCAATGCAAACACATGTTATTTTATAATGGCCGGATGCAGTGGCTCACACCTGCAATCCCAGCACTTTGGAGGCCACGGCAGGAGGATCCCCTGAGGCCAGGAGTTCAAGACCAGCCTGGGCAACATAGCAAAATGCCATTTCTAGAAAAAAAAATTGTTTTTAATTAGCAGGGCATGGTGGAGCATGCCTATAGTCCTAGCTGCTCAAGACGCTGAGGCAGGAGGACAGTTTGAGCCCAGGAGCTTAATTAGGGCTGCAGTGAGCTATGATCCTATGATCACATCCACTGCATTCCAGCCTGGGCACAGGAACAATGCCCTGTCTCAAAAAAAAAAAAAAAATCCATAAAATGCCAGCACATTAAAAAGAAAAAGTCCATCTTAAACATCACATGCATCTTCAAAAAGCTGTTAAAACCATCTTATCTTATACAAACTGTTTAAACTTTTAAAATAGAACTGAAAAGAAACAAATAATTAGGTCAGTCTGTCATTGGGTAACTTGGCTCGAGGTGAACTGGCCTTTTTCCCCAAAGAAGTAACTGAGTAACTAACAGATCACTCATCTCTGCTCCCTACTCCAGGAATAATCTCAGCCCTGCATCCCAGCCAAGCTGGCTGGAGCCTTGACTCCCATCGCCTAGCTCGTTAGACCCTTCCAGGCATTTTAAGCTGGAGTATACTACGGACATCCTTGCATCACTTAGAGGCTGTACATCCTGAATGTTTAGCTTGGCCAGCTAACAAGGAGAAACACACTCCTTAGACTCTCCACACTGAGCCTACCCTGGCCCTGTGAAACAGATTCTTCAGATTCCAGATTCTAGTCCTGTGAGAAGGGCTGTTTTGCTTGCTGTTTTATCTTTATTATGTAGCATAGTGTATGCCATATAGTTGCTACATAATAGATGTTTGAGAAAAGATTTTTAAAAAGAATAAATTAATAACTTGAGCAATGTTGTTGAAGAAAGTTTCTCTTTTTTTGAGACAGGGACTTGCTCTATTGCCCAGGCTGGAGTACAGTGGCACGATCTTACCTTACTGCAGCCTCAACCTCCCAGGCTCAAGTGATCCACCTCAGCCTCCTGAGTAGATGGGACTACAGGCGTGTGCCACCACGCCCAGCTAATTTCTTAATTTTTTTTGTAGTGACAAAAAAATAGGTCTCACAATGTTGCCCAGGCTGGTCTCGAGCTCCCGGACTCAAGTGATCCGACTGCTTTGGCCTCCCAAACGGCTACGATTAAAAGTGCGAGCCACCGCACCTGGCCAAGGACACCATTTCTATAACCTTCAGCTTCTCCGTGTAGGAAGCCCTTCTATTAAATTTTTTTCTTTTTCTTTTTTTTTAAAGAATTTAGTGCTAGAAAATACTTCATTTCCTTTGAGAAATGAAGAATGGGTGTCTGTTGTTGTTTTCTTTTCTAAAAATAAGAATCATATAATTAATGTTCCTTTTTCACTTTGGCTGCCCCAAAACACAGGGCTAACTTTGAGGTCTAACTCTAGTAACTGTGTAGACCCTCACTGTATTTGTTTTTCTCTGGCCTTTGTATTATGTTTTGTTTTTACTCTTGACTGACATATAATATCTGATCTTATATGTATTTGTTGTGATCATCTTAAATCCTTTGTGAATAAAAGAGAATGAATAAATTTAAAAACTAAATAAATAAAACAGCCAGGCATGGTAGCCCTAGCCTATAGGCCAGCTACTTGGGAGGCTGAGGCAGGAGGACTGCTTAAGCCCCAGAGTTCAAGGCCAGCCTGTGCAACATAGTGAGACCCCTGTCTCTACAACAAAAAAAAAAAAAAAAAGAAAGTACACCAAGGATTTATTTTTTACACACACACAAATAAAAACAGAAATAATACTAAAAATAATTTTTAACCTCGGGTCTTCATGAGTCACAGAATACAAAAAAGAAGTTGCAATTCCTTCCTTGGATATCTTCACTTGAATTGCTTCTCTTTCTTCCATTTTTGACATTTTTTTTTTCTCCCCAAATGACCGGAATTCTTAGCCATGGAAAACTGAATTGACTTCAAATATCTTCCTGGATGTATTTTAAGGTAAAAATGCCAATTTCTGCTTGTAATGTTTTTTTTTCCTTGGGTTTTCAAGAAGAACATGAAACTACTCTGGAAAAAACTGCTCTGAGGGAAAAAAAAAGGTTGGGGGGAATGGAGGAACTGTGAAATTTACAAAGTTGAACTAGTCCTTCTGAGCTGTGGTCAAAATGGTTTCAAGTACAGCTGGCAAAATTCTGAGAAGATAAGAAATGCTCGGGGAAAATCATGCAGGATCTCACTGTAATTATAACAGTATGTTTGTCAAGCGTTTGAATAATATAACTGCACGAGCATTTTTACACGTTTCTGTTGTGTAGCATTTTCCCACTGATGAAGGATTGTTATTTTAAAATTCCAAACACTAGTCTCCCCAAGATATTTAAAAGAAATATCTCTAAATTTGAAATGTTTGGCAGCAAACACTTATGACAGCCAAAAATATGTTAGCTGTTAAAATCAGAAGTTTGTTTCTGAAACAAACTATTTCTTGAGAAAAATATTTGCCAATTTTCGTGGCAGCTGCAGGGATGCTTTCACATGCAGAAATTAATTTATTATTACAAATGGGCAAAGGCAGAGTGATTTGCTTTTTCCTTTTGGCCCACACTACTATAACCGACCCAAATTACACGTGCTTTTATCAACAGAGGCACCAGCTGCTGCTTGGCCGGGACCCATTCTTTCTCTTTAACTGTGTTCCCTTACAGAGGAAATTAGCAAAAGCAATCTTTTTCAGATAAGGTCTGTTTTGTCTTGTCATGTCCAAGTCTCACTACAGCCCCGAATCATATATATACATATATGATTGTAAAGGGGGCCAGAATGTCACCCCAAAATATTCCTCTTTGACATAAAGGTTATTTTGAGCTGAAGACAACCGAGAACAGCAAGCAAGCTCTAAAAACAGACCTTTTTTCTCTTTGTAAAGGAAATTTACATGTATAAAGGAAATTTCCATTTGTAAAGTGTCCCCCTCTGCTGCACCAGGAAAAGGGGGATGTCTCTTAACAATTCCCATCAATGAAGAAGGCACTTTAATCTCCAAGACAAACCTTACTAACAACCCCTGTATATCACACATTTCCTAGTCACCTTCCCATAAGTGACTCCCCTTTTCCTATGGCTGGCCTCTTCTCTACACTTCGTCATCCTTTGGTATATAAGCCTTCAAGTTCTGACCGCCTCCTCGTGCCACATTTCTTTGTGAACTTTCATGCCTACGTAAGTAATTAAAACTGTTTTTTTTCTTGTTAATCTCTTTTGACAGTTTAATTGGCAGGGCCTCCAGCCACTGAACCTAGGAGGGTACAGGAAAGAAGTTTTTCCTCCCCTACAATTGCTGAGCTTCTTGCTTAATTTAGAGGCTTTCCATCCCAATTTTATTCTAACATGAGGGCGTGAGATAAATATTATAAAAATATAAACCAAATTCATGAAAAGCTGAGAGTTCCAGGGGTGACAGCAATCAGTCATTCTCATTTAACAAATACCAGTTGAGTGCTTACGACTTGCCAGGCACTATATCAGGCACTGGGGTGCAAAGATGAATAAGCGGGAAATGCTTTCTAGAGACAGGAACAGAGAGGAGCATGAACAGCAATAACTAACTGCCTGGAGAAGTCCAAAAAAGCAAAGCTTGTCATAACAGGCATAAAAGGAAAAGGAGCAATTTCAATCTTCCTAACCTCAAGATTTCCCCATTAAGGCAGACAGGACCTAGCAAATGTAGTTTGGGGATGGGAAGGCTGCCAGGATAAGTGAGCCTAGTCAAATTAGAAATCATTAACAAGCACAAAAACAAGTCCATTCCTCTAATCTACTGTTGGGGCTCAAAAAACTGTACTCCCAAGTGAAGGCCTCAGAAGCAAAGTTTCTCTCTGACCACCTGCCCTCCTGTCTCCCTCCCCTCATTCTCTCCAGAGGCAAGCCATGGAAACTGGAATCCCTCTTCATCAAGGTGGGTCATAGAAATCAGAACCCCATTTCCCTAAAGCCAGAAATAAAACCTAAAAACATTACAACAAACTTCCCCTTGCTTTTCTGTGTAAGAACTGGCCATAAAGACATTCTCTGGCCTACTTTGTTTGATTGTGAGTCCTAAAACCCCTTAATAGCCGAGCGCAGTAGCTCACACCTGTAATCCCAGCACTTTGGGAGGCTGAGGCAGGTGGATCACTTGAGCTCAGGAGTTCGAGATCAGCCTGGCCAACATGGTGAAACCCTGTCTCTACTAAAAATATAAAAATTAGCCAGGCATGGTGGCCCACGCCTGTAGTCCCAGCTACTTGGGAGCCTGAGGTGGGAGGATCACCCCAGAGCACAGCAGGACGAAGCTGCAGTAAGCCAAGATCACACCACTGGACTCCATACAGCCGAGGTGACAGAGCGAGACCCTATCTCAAAAAAAAAAAAAAAAAAAAAGAAAGAAAGAAAGACAAGACCCAACCACTCCAGAAAGGGGCCCTGCCCCATACCTGGATGGAAGGAATACTACACAGAGAGGCCAAGAAGAATTTGAATGAATTTCCCCCTCAGTCTATCTCTTCTAGATTCTATCCTTTTTGTCTGATCATATTAATACACGGTTGTCCATGCATCAAACCACAGCATAAAAATGGATACTTCACCCTGAGTCTTTGGGCCTTCATTCTGAAGACTCTCATGTCATGTAAAACTGTGACTAAATACTGCAGTACGGGCCGGGCACAGTGGCTCACATCCGTAATCCCAGCATTTTAGGAGGCCAAGGTGGGAGGATCACTTGAGCCCAGGGGTTTCACACCAGCCCAGGCAACATAGGGAGACCCTCTCTCTACAAAAAATAGAAATAATTAGCCTGGTGTCATGGCCTGCATCTGTGGTTCCAGCTGCTCAAGAGGCTGAAAAAAAAAGAATCCCTTGAGCTCAGGAGTTTGAGGCTAAAGTGAGCTACGATTGTGCCACTGCACTCCAGCCTGGGCAACAGAACAAGACCCTAACTCCAAAATATAAATATTTTAAAATAAAAATAATACTTTAATAGGAGAATTATTAATTATACTTTAATAATAATGCTTAGTATGCTTCTCTCTAGTTAACCCCTTTCCTCCCCTACACCACCACCACAACAGAGCCAGTGGTTAAGAAATGTATCCAGCTATTTTTAGAGGATTTTTAAAAATACTGTAAGTTAGATATACTGTAAGGACAGAAAGTCGAACTGTCATTCAATTTATTTTCTACAAAATGGAATATACATTGTATTTAAGAGGATTTTTGTACTATAATAAAAGAGGAGCTTATAAAAGTAATTTTTAATGTTCCAGAAAACTACAAAAAAAAAAACTATACCCATAGCTTCACCATCCAAATGCCACCAGTGAATTTTTAGATAATTTTTGTCTGTATCATAGGTCTTTACCCTTTTTTTTTTTTTTTTTTTTTTTTTTGTATTTTAGTAGAGACAAGTTTTCACCATGTTGCCCAGGGTGGTGTTGAACTCCTGAGCTCAAGCAATCCACCCACCTCGGCCTCCCAAAGTGCTGGGATTACAGGCGTGTGCCACCGCGCCCGGCCTACTTTGTTTTTACAGAGTTGTAATTATACCACAATTTTTTTGGTTCTGCTAAATATTAAGCATCAGTATTTTCATGTTCTTAATCTCTACAGAAATAATCTTAATGCCTGCATTACATCTTGATGGTTCATAAAAATTTACATTGGAAAAGAACAACAAGGATTAGTCTCCTAAAACATCTCAAGAAGACAAAGGGTAGAAAATGTTCTGTTACTGTTTAGCTTTCATTCATTTTTACTTGTCAATAATTTACCCAAAAAGTATGAATGTGCAGTTTGTATGTTCCAGGCACTACACTGGGTAGTCAGCAAGATGGGATATAGGGTACCTCACCTTACTTGATTCCCGGCCATTGTCACCACTGTGCTTTAGCTCTGTGCTGTGCAAATTAAATAAAATAATTAGGCAAGTGATACTATGAGGCTAATTTCCAGGAGGGTAGGAATGGTGAATAGGCAGCAGTAACAAGGACCCAGGCTCATCCAGGCTAGAATATAACCAAGCCTGGCCTCAAGATCCCAGCTCATGGTGAGAGAAGCAGGGACCAGCACACACAGCTGCTGGCTGGCTAGCCAGTGAAGGACGGTGCCCCCCACCCAGGCCTGGGATACCCAAAGCCACACCAAGTGCAGTCTGGGAAGCTGAACAGTCTTATGAGGGGGCAATACCATGTCGTAGAATCACTCCTGGACTGGTGGCTTAGCAGGCCCGAGTTTGGGCCCTCATTCTGTCCCAAGCTTGTACAGAACGTACTGAACATACTTGGTCCCTAGTTTTCTCATCCATAACATAAGGGTGGAGCTAGACACTACAAGCCCTTCCAGCTAAATAAGTGTAATTTTATGACACTATAAAAACCAAGACTCGGCCAGGTACGGTGGCTCATGCCTGTAATCCCAGTACTTTGGGAGGCCAAGGCGGGCAGATCACTTGAGGTCAAGAACCCAAGACAAGCCTGGCCAACATGGTGAAATTCCATCTCTGCAAAAAATATAAAAGTTAGCCGGGCATGGTGGCACATTCCTGTAATCCCAGCTACTCAGGAGGCTGAGGCAGGAGAATCACTTGAACCCAGGAGGCGGAAGCTGTAGTGAGCCAAGATGGCACCAATGCACTCCAGCCTAGATGACAGAGCAAGACTCCATCTCAAAAAAAAAAAAAAAAAAAAAGCAGGACTCACAGTAGTCCACAAAAGCACCAAGTCCAATCATCTCACCAATATTAAAGCATATTTCAAATACTAGGAATGGGGGGGAAAAAAAACCAGTTCCTTGCTGCTCTAGAAGTTACATATCTTCCAGTTCAGTTACTAAGCTCTTCTGGGTTGTGCTAAATCTTCAGTCTGGCTGGCAATGTCAGTAAGGCCAGGGTGAGGGTTGCCTCTCTGGATCCTCCTGAAGGACAATCAGCTGGGCTCTCTCTTCCACAGCCACAGGCTGAACACCTTCCCCAGGGACCCACAGAGGGTGTAGGATCAGTTCAAACCTGGCTTCCTACCGGAAAAGTTAAGTGATGTTCTCTGACGGTATGGAAACTAGAGGGAAAATTCTCTTTAGTATTGAAAAACATCATTTCTTTCTCCAAATGATTATTATTTCCATACATTTAGGGTTTCTTTACAAATTCTATTTTTTTTTTTGAGATGGAGTCTCACTCTGTTGCCCAGCTGGAATGCAGTGGTGCGATCTCGGCTCACTGCAACCTCCGCCTCCCCAGTTCAAGCAACTCTCCTGCCTCAGCCTCCCCAATAGCTGGGACTACAGGCACAGGCCACTACGCCCAGCTAATTTTTGTATTTTTAGTAGAGACGGGGTTTCACCACGTTGACCAGGACGGTCTTGATCTCTTGACCTCGTGATCTAGCCACCTTGGCCTCCCAAAGTCCTGGGATTACAGGCATGAGCCACCATGCCTGGTCACAAATTCTTTTTTTCTTTATAAATTCATTACTAATTAAAGAATGATGGCCAGTGGCTCACATCTATAATCCCAACACTTTAGGAAGCCAAGGCAGGCAGATCACTTGGTGCCAGGAGTTTGAGACCAGCCTGGCCAACATGGTGAAACTCTGTCACTACTAAAAATACAAAAATTAGCCAGGCATGATGGAGCACACCTGTAGTCCCAGCTACTCGGGAGGCTGAGGCAGGAGAATCACTTGAACCCAGAAGGAAGAGGTTGCAGAGAGCCGAGATTTGACCACCACACTCCAGCCTGGGCAACAGTGCAAGACTCCATCTCAAAAGAGAATGAATAGTCCATATCATTTAAAACACAAAATTAATAAGGCTACTACTCCAATAAGTACAAGATAAATTCTGTCAGTTGAGACATCTAATTACAAAATATAAAATTGATATACATCCAGTAAATAAACTTTGCACCTAATAATTGACTCTGCACTTAATAATCACACAATGTATCTTAAAATTACATTGTTTTACCTACCTCTTAAAATCAAAGTCTATTATTTAAAAAAAGGAAGAAAATTCCACATAATAAACAAGTGGACAACAAAGCATGCATTTCACCCTGTCTTATATAAATTATAATCAATTATTCTAATAAAAAGTCATTACCTAGCTGAAGATCATAAAGCCAAAAGAGGACCATTAGCTCTCAATTACCTAAGCACACATCTTCCTGTTGGTACATTAGGGTCCTCACTCCTGGGCCAAGAATAGTAATCAGAGGTGATAAGTTTGTGTGTTTCCCTGTATGTATGTTTTTGTAGGTAGTGAGTCCACCCAACAGTGCATTTTGAATGCTGTTTGAAAAACAAGCAGTAAGGATGTTAAAACTACTTTCATTCTGTGAAATGGTATCATTATCTGTGTTAGCACAACACAGGTGGGGTAGGGCTCAATCATTCTACTATAAAACAACAAGATCCCATACTGGCAAAAGAGGGAGGGAGGAAGGCCGGGTCCAATTAAGAAAATCAGCATCTATTTAGCTCACATATTCTCGAGCTGTCTCCCTCAGCTTCAATTAAGAATTCATTAGACTATTATCTCCCCATGGGAAAGGACTACTGTCCTTCATCTCGATGACCCTGGTACCTAACCGAAAACCTGGCACACAGCGAGTAGTCAATAAATGCAAGCTGAATATTGTTGAATGCGTATATAGCTAGCAGCATAACTACCTCAACATCTCCCACTTGAACATATTCAAAATAAAACAGGTTTACTCAGGATGCTGAGGCAGGATTGCTTGAGCCCAGGAGTTTGAGGCTGCAGTGAGCTATGATCACGCCACTGCAGTCCAGCCTAGGTGACAGAGCAAAACCCTGTCTCAAAAAAAATATATCGAAATTAAAAATAGAACAAGTAACTTCAGCTCTGGCCATTTGGGAGTTAAATGGTCCAGAATTAATGTTCTTCTGTAAACAATAGAAAATTGGAAAAAACATAGGAAACAATTATGTTGAGGCTGCAACAGGCAATGCAAGAGTGCCATCCTTCAGAGAAGGGAAATGGACAACGTGAGCCCCATGATTGCCTGTGCTCCCCACCTGGAAACAATTTCCAGACCTAAGCACATCAAGGGACACCAAATAGAGCCTCGCCAACTTCACAGAGAGACAGTGAGAAAGGCCCAGATTGCAGAGTAGAGAAGGAAGCAGGAGTGAGCAGAGGAGAAAGTTGAGTTGCAAAGCAGGCTCAATAATCGCCTCTACTAACCCCATGGTGAGCTCTGGAGGTAACATGGCTCTCAGAGTTGTCCTAAGTTGGGCCTAGATGGCTCAATCTTCCTATTCCCACCTCATTAGTCCCTGGATGTGGGACCCTCCATCTCCATCCTTTGAGTAAGGTGGTTCACTGCAGCTGAGGCAATGGCTAAAGCGGTCACTCCCAAGAGGCTGGGCACCGAGTCTTTCTTTGAAGCGAATCTTGACAGTAAACACAGCATCCACCACATTAAGCTCTGAAAACTATTGCTCTGGCTACTTCTCTGCTTAAAATATTTCAAAGGCGGCCGGGTGCGGTGGCTCCTGCCTGTAATCCCAGCACTTTGGGAGGCCGAGGCGGGCGGATCACAAGGTCAGGAGATCGAGACCATCCTGGCTAACCCGGTGAAACCCCATCTCTACTAAAAATATATATATATATATGTTTCAAAGGCTTCCTATCAACTGCATTTAAAATTCAACATCTGGGGCCTTCCTACTTCATCACTGTCTTTTGACACTCTCACATAGGCCCTAAGCCTACAAACACGGCCAAAGAATCGAAGCTCTCCTTAAGGCCCCAGGTTCTCTCTCACCTTCCCGTCTTTGCACACACTCTCTCACCTATTCCATCCACGTGGACAACTCCAACTGACCCAGGGAGAGTGAGGTGATTGGCCTTGGTGCCCACTACACACCCCGTGCCACAATCTCAGTGTATCTACCACACTTGTCTCAGACACATCTCCATGTCTGACACCTTACTGCAACCTAAGCTCCTTACAGTACCGCTTTCTTCTTTGTATCCAGTTCCAAACATCAAGTCTGATGCAAAGTAGGTACCAAGCAGACGTGCAAGGAGTTACTGGACAGATGGACGGATAGAATCATTAAGCACTCTCAACGAGTAACTCCTACCTTTACTCTTTTCTTAGTTTTTCTGTCTTCAGAAGAAAAGCCTTTCCTACAGCACTCAGGTCATGCCAGTGAAACTGCTCCAAGTGCCCCCGGAAGGCTTCTGTAGCAGCGCTGGCCTGCTAAGTCTAGAAATTCCACCTTCTCCACTGTGGTCTACCACAGGGCCTGCTTTCTCCATTTTACTTACCCTCGATACTCCAGGAGGGAAAAGAAGCTTAGGGCGCCCCTCTGGCCCTGACATCCAGGCTGTGGCTCCTCTCTAAGCTTCGCCCTGAGCGGCTTTCCTTCATCTCCTGGGCCACACCAAGGGCCCGCTTCTCAGCTCTCCCTGGGTCACCCATCACCACCCAATGACTCTGAACAAAAAAAATTTCTTCCTGAGGGCACAATATATTTTTTCCTTTCAAAAGGAGTTCACACTTCCCCAACTCCCCTCACACCCATGCAAAAAAAAAAAAAAAAAAATTCACCAGCTTCTGTATTATAAGCAATATAACCAAGGCTACATTTATATTTTAGTTCAGAAAACTTCAAGCTTGTGTCTGGAACAATTTTTCCCAAATTCAAATTCAAAATAGCCCTGTAGAGGAGGGAACTTATCATCCAATGTAATTTTTCTTGTATTTTTAGCCTTGATTTACAGGCATTTCCTCACATCAACAGTACAATAAAGGCCAGGCGCAGTGGCGCACGCCTGTAATCTCAGCACTTTGGGAGGCCAAGGTGGGAGGATTGCTTGAGCCCAGGAGTTCAAGACCAGCCTGGACAACATAACAAAACCCCATCTCTACAAAAAAAATACCAAAAAAAGTTAGCCAGGCGTGGAGGTGCACGTAGTCCCAGATCCCTGGGAGGCTGAGGTAGGATCATCTGAGCCTGGTGATCAAGGCTGCAGTGAGCCATGATTGTACCACTGCACTCTAGCCTGGGTAACAGAGCGAGACCCTGACTTTAATAAATGAATAAATAGGCCGAGCATCGTGGGTCACGCCTGTAATCCTAGCACTTTGGGAGGCCAAGGCAGGTGGATCACTTGACATCAGGAGTTCAAGACCAGCCTGGTCAACATGGCAAAACCACGTCTCTACTAAAAATACAAAAATTAGCCAAGCGTGGTGGCATGTGCCTGTAGTCCCAGCTACTCAGGAGGCTGAGGTAGGAGAATCACTTGAACCTGGGAGGCAGAGGTTGCAGACAGCTGAGATCATGCTACTGCACTCCAGCCTGGGCGACAGAGCAAGGTTCCATCTCAAAAAAATAAATAAATAAAATGTAAAAGAAAGAACTGAAGCATATTTGCCAATAAATACCACCTAATTCATTAAAAAAAAAAAAAACAGAGTGCTTACTATGCACTAAGCATTTATATACATTATGTCATTTAATCCTCATAAAACTTCTCTGACATGGATAATAACCATATCAACAATTTATAGATGAAACCAAGGCTCATGGAAGTGAAGTGCTTTATCCTAAGTGGCTCAGCCACTGTGTCTCTGAGCTCCATCCTGAGTCCAAAGTCTCAACCTCTATTTCATATAATACCAAAATGGGATGATCAAGATAAGTAACCTTTCCACAAGTAACTGTTTTTTTGTTTTTGTTTGTTTGTTTGTTTTTCTGAGATAGGGGCCCACTCTGTCACACACACTGGAGTGCAGTGGCACCATCATATCCCAGACGCAACCAATCCTCCCACCTCAGCCTCCCAAGTAGCTGGGACCACAGGCGTGTGACACCACACCCAGCTAATTTTTTTTTTTTTTTTACTTTGTGTAGAGATGAGTTCTCCCTATGTTATCCATGCTGGTCTCGAACTCCTGGACTGAAGTGATCCTTTCACCTTGGCCTCTCAAAGTGCTGGGATTACTGGTGTGAGCCACCGCTCACCCGGCCTCCACATGTTACTCATTCAGTAACATTACTACTTGTTTTTAATCAAGAGTGATAGAAATTCCTTGACCTGATAAATACAACATATGGAATATGTTTTAAGTTTTCTTTGGCGACTTAACACCATTATTAATATCAATTACTATACTCATCTCTAATTAAAACCATAAATGGAATTTTAGCTGCTCACCAATTCATCCTAATGATGACATTATTCAAGTTGACATTTGTCAGGATGGAAAGAGCTGACTGCTTCTCATCCCCCTTTCCGTGTTCCCATACCATGACCACAAGCAGGCGGCTGAGCTTCCACTTTCCACTTCCTCTGCTATTACACAAGGATCTACGGCTCCACCTGCATCACAGAGCTTGCTAGAAGGCTCAAATAATTCACACAAAGCACGACCAATAAACTGGAAACTGCAGCAGGGTTGTAGGCCTTATTATCTCTCCTCAGTGAAATGCTTGGATTTTAAACTCTTCCTTTCAAACACTATTCTAAAGAGTAATAAAATTCCCATAAGGCTAACAGTCTCCATAATTCAATAGTCTATCTGGCTGGTCAATCAGAAATATGTTACAGGTTCCAATAACAAACATCAGTAATAGTGCCATTGTTCTAACGGTTTCTGCAATGCCATAGTACTAAGGCTATGCAAAGCTTGTGTTTCTTCGAGTGGTGTTGAATAAGCAACATCTTATCCACTGACATCCGCATGAAATGAAGCAACAGATTCCTGATGTGGCAGATTAATTAACTAAGGGAGAAATTAATTTGGGTTTTTTTTCTAATTCTTTAGAAATATATATATAATTATAATTATATATTTATATAAACATAAAATTTTCCATAAATATATAAGTATATATAAAAATATATGACACACAAATTAATCTGTATTATAACTCTAACTCAAAAGATCAGATTGTTTTGTTTTGTTTATTTATTGTAGAGACAGGGTCTCACTATGCTGCCTAGGCTGGTCTCAAACTCCTGTCTTCAAACGATCCTCCCAAAGTGCTGGGATTACAGCCGTAAGCCACTGTGCCTGGCCCAAATTTTTATTCTATAGCAATATTCCACAAAGTAACTGAAGACAAACAATCATCCTGGTAATAGCTTCATAGGTAATTCAAAAACATAAAAGTTTCCTTTGGCTGGGTATGGTGGCTCACACCTACAAACCCAACATTCTGGGAAGCCAAGGCGGGCAGACTGCTTGAGCCCAGGAGTTCAGGACCAGCCTAGCCAACACACAGAAAACCTGTCTCTACAAAAAAAAAAATTGCCGGGCACAGTGGCTCACACCTGTAATCCCAGCACTTTGGGAGGCCGAGGCGGGCAGATCACAAGGTCAGGGGTTCGAGACCAGCCTGGCCAATATGGTGAAACCCTATCTCTACCCAAAATACAAAAAAATTAGCCGGATGTGGTGGTACATTCCTGTAATCCCAGCTACTCGAGAGGCTGAGGCACAACAAATTGCTTGAACTCGGGAGAGAGAGGTTGCAGTGAGCCGACATCGCACCACTGCACTCCAGCCTGGGCGACAGAGCAAGACTCCGTCTCAAAAAAAAAAAAAATTTTTTTTAAATTAGCCAGTCACAGTGGCACATGCCTGTAGTCCCAACTACTTGGGAAGCTTAGCCTAGAGGACTGCTTAAGACCAGGAAGCCAAGGCTGCAGGGAGCCATGATTACACCACTGTACTCCAGCCTGGGCACCAGAGTGAGACCCTGTCTTAAAAAAAAAAAAAAAAAAATTAAAGACAATAGAAAATATTAAATAAGAAAATACTAAGATCAACAGAATCCGATGTTGATATTCAATAGGAATGTAACCATATAAATATATATGCATATAAACAAGCATTAAAAGATAAAGTACAAAAATAAAAATAAAAATAGTTGTGGTAGTTGATATAACATAGAATTCTTTTTTTCTTAACATAGAATTCTTATTCAAAGTCTTACAGCATTATTGCTACCTCATCTTCTAAATGAAAAATATGTAACCCACACATATTTTTTTAAAACTACTTCAGCCAGGCATGGTGGCTCACGCCTGTAATCCCAGCACTTTGGGAGGCCGAGGTGAGTGGATCATTTGAGGTCAGGAGTTCAAGACCACCCTGGCCAACATGGCGAAACCCTGTCTCTACTAAAAATACAAACATTAGCCAGGTGGTAGCAGCACACACGTGTAATCGCAGCTACTTGGGAGGCTGAGGCAGGAGACTCACCTGAGCCTAGGAAGCGGAGGTTGCAGTGAGCCAAGATCGTGCTACTGCACTCCAGTCTGGGCAACAGAGTAAGATCCTGTCTCAAAAAAATTAAATAAATGAATAAAATAAAATAAAATAAAACCACTTAATGTCAACCCTTCTATCAAGTGAAATAAGAAAATAAATAAAATAAAATTTATAAAGTTCTCATTCATAAAATAAAACATAACCAGAGAAGAAAATGTTTTCTTAAGAATGTGACTTGTGGTTAATGAAAAGACTAAACCTAACTTTAGAGATTTAATTTCTACGCAACTGCGATATCCTTTGCTGGTTGGTGCTATAAACCCAAGTATCCCCACTATAACCTTGGCTCATTTGTTGAATGCTCTTGTGTGCTTTTTCAGACTAATTGAAGAATTTAATCTTGCGGTATTTGTAAAATATGCTATCTGTGGATACCAAAGGGAAAACGCAAAAATACTTTTGTCCTCTGTTGCTTATTTATCTGAATAGATTTACTTTTCCTCCTTTGTCTCAGGCTGGGGCAAGTGAACTTTTGGAAGCCCCTTTGTTCCTTACTAAAGTTACATATTACCACTCTCTCTTTCCTATCTGTGCACAATTAACAGTCAGCCAGATCGGCTTTCCCACCCTCCCAGCTTCCTTCATAGGATACACCAGCCACCTGGGCCTTTCCTGGAAGAAATGAACAGCTACACACTATTTATGGTAACGGTCAGAATTCAAGGGATGGAGACCCTTTGTGGGCTCCGACTGCTTCTCCCAAGGATTCATGGCCTCCTGGATCTCTGCCTGAGTCCTTAGTCTACCCACAGTTCAAGTTCACTGGGGCTGATTCTACTGAAGAATACACAGAGGTTAATTTTCAGAGGGTCAAGTCTTCTTTTCCTGCCTTGCTAGAGGAGTCATTCTCTACAAAAACAAAAAAAGATTTTTAAATCAATCTTCTGATAAAACTTGCACAAAAGGAGACTTTTCAATGCCTTTTGTTATTGAGATAAATTAGCCCAACTCAAGGTTGGGGTAGGTCATGGTATGGTTCTTCAGTTTCTCCCATTACAGTCTTCTTGGCTTATGAGGCAGTTTGTGCTCCTGTAAACTCCTTAGCACATACCAGCACACCCAACTGAGCTTTTTTTGGTAAAGACAGGGTCTTGCTATGTTGCCCAGTCTGGTCTTGGCCTCAAGCAAGCCTCCCACCTCAGCCTCGCAAAGCACTGGGATCAAGGCATGAGCCACCACACCTGTCCAAACTGTATCATTTAATGGCTTCAGACAGATATTTAAGAGTTATGCCTAGATTTTTTTCTTTTTTGATCACTACTTTTAAAACGGGCTTCAAGCCGAGCGCAGTGGCTCACACCTGTAATTCCAACACTTTGGGAGGCCAAGGTGGGTGGATCACCTGAGATCAGGAGAGTTCGAGACCAGGCTAACCAACATGATGAAACCTCATCTCTACTAAAAATACAAAATTTAGCCAGGCCTGATGGCAGATGCCTGTAATCCCAGCTACTCAGGAGGCTGAGGCAGGAGAATTGCTTCAACCTGGGAGGTGAAAGCTGCAGTGAGTTGAGATCGCACCACTGCACTCCAGCCTGGGTAAGAGTGAGACTCTGTCTCAAACAAAAAATAAAAATAAAAATAAAGAAAAAAATAAAAGGGGGCTTCAGCAGCAGAAACAAAATGACCAGAATCTAGGGAGAATGCCTGTCAGCAAATGATTGTCTTGATTCTTGTGTGGCCCCAAATATGAGATATTAACCGACTTCTCTAGACAATCAACCAATCCTCCCCAGCTCCCTGTAAAGGTGTTCACTGCCTCCACAGGAAAGCCTCTTACCAGGGCTACAGGCTTTATTGGGTTGTGTGGGTGTACCAAGTACAGGCCAGGGAGATCTAGACATGCCAGTCCCACAGGGTGGAGATCACGATCACGTTGCCACAGGTGCCATTTCTTATTCACCCACCCACTCACCATCCAAAGAACACCATGTTAGGCTGGGTGTGATGGCTCAAGCCTGTAATCCTAGCACTTTGGGAGGCCAAGGCAGGTGGATCACTTAAGGCCAGGAGTTCAAGACCAGCCTGGGTAACACAGTAAGACCTCATCTCTACCAAGAAAAAAATTAACCAGGTGTGGTGGCACACACCTGTAGTCCCAGCTACTCAAGGGAGGCTAAGGTGGGAGGATCACTTGAGCCCAGGAGGTCAAGGCTGCAATGAGCCATGATGATACTACTGCACTCCAGCCTGGGCAACAGAATGAGACCCTGTCTCAAAAAAAAGTTTTAACTTAAAAAAAAAAAAGTGTAGCTAATGCAAATGACCTTGGCTATAAAATACAGAACGCCACACCTTATAGACAGTCATAAAGTAGAACTGTCAGGGAAACACAGGAAAAAAGACACAGACACAGAGATTAAGAAAGCAAAGAACACACACATAGGGAACACATCTACTCATGAAAGATAACGCCGCTTTGATCCCCAACTCCACTGTTAAATATCAAGCTCCACTTGCTGACTTTCAACATTCCTATGAGAAGCCCAGAAAATCAGAATGGTGTCACTTTACAACAGTGTAGATCTTCAGAAGCATTCCATAATTCTATTTCAATCACAGTATTAAAATGTAGAGATGGTTCTCATTTCCACTCCAGTGGTTTTCTTAATCTCTACTACGGCAAAATATGAGAATGTAAGTAACCAAATTAACCACCTCTCAGCAGGAAAAATGGAACTGCTCAGAAATCTCCTGTTGGTACAAATTGTTCCCAAAAATCCTCCTGCCAAACTTTTGACCTATTCCTCCTAAACTTGGAAGTGAGTGGTAACAAACTTAGAAAGTAAAGTTTTAGCTATGAATCATAGTTCCTATTTTGACCAAAGTTCTAGGTTATAGGCCTCTCATTTTTTTCTCCAAGTTCAATGGGCCTGCTATTTTTTTTATATGAAAGCAGTCATGGTGCACCTTTTTGTCTCTCCCTGAAGGCTTCCCATAATCTATTTATAGGGCTGGAAGTTTTCCAAACCCAAACATAATTTATTAACGAAAGTGGCTGTGCCATTTTTGATGACTGACAATTTTGGTCTTGTTTCTCTCTTATCCCAAGGGAAAATCAATTGCCCAGCAAATTAATGTATCCCTCATCCTTTCATCCTTAGAGACCAACAATCAAAACTGATTTAGTCTCAATTGGTCTATTTCTGGCTCTGAGTGGATGTTAATCCTCAATAACAGGTCTGTTGGACTAAGTAACAGGCTGAGTATCCACGGACAGTGGTTTCTGATCTGTCTTATTTGTTCCCTGACTCACTGGGAGGCTCTGAACAACTCACTGTATTCTCTCGGTTTATTTGATACGATTAGCAATGCAGTTAAAAGAAACATATTTGGGGGCCAGGCGCAGTGGCTCATGCCTGTAATCCCAGCACTTTGGGAGGCTGAGGTGGGCGGATCACAAGGTCAGGAGATCGAGACCATCCTGGCTAACACGGTGAAACCCCGTCTCTACTAAAAACACAAAAATTAGCCGGGCGTGGTGGTGGGCGCCTGTAGTCCCAGCTACTCGGGAGCCTGAGGCAGGAGAATGGCATGAACCTGGGAGGCGGAGCTTGCAGTGAGCGGAAATCACGCCACTGCACTCCAGCCTGGGCAACAGAGCGAGACTCGGTCTCAAAAAAAAAAAGGAACATATTTGCTTGTTGCTTGTTTTTTTTAATTAAAAAAAATATAATGGTATCCACTACTGCAATTAAATAAGATTTTGTTTGTTTTTTGAGACAGGGTCTTGCTCTGTCACCCAGGCTGGAGTTTAGCAGTATGATCATAGCTTACTACAGCCTTGAACTTCTGGCTCCACCTCAGCCTCCCAAGTAGCTGGAATTACAGGCGTGTGCCAACACACCCCGCTAACTTTTTTTTTTTTTTTTTGTAGAGATAGAGTCTCGCTGTGTTGCCCAGGCTGGTCTCAAACCCCTTGGCTCAAGCAATCCTCCCATCTCAGCCTTCCAAAGTGCTAGGATTACAAGTGTGAGCCACCACGTCCAGCCGATTAAATAAGTTTTAAACAACTAGCTCAATCCATAGTCACCAAACTCATACCTGTACCTTCATAAAACAGGTCCATCATAGTTTAAACTGGAATCGCTGGGGTGATCCTGGTCCACAGACCTCCCTAGAGTACAGCCAAGTCAATCAGAGGGGTCTTTAAGATGCACCCCTTGCAACATGCACTTTGGCCAGTCTCCCTTCTGCCCTGGGGTTTCTCGCATCAAGTCACCGGTCTGGGAACCTTGAAGAACTGCAGAGGGCAAGAGCAGGCTCTTCCACCTGGGCAGTGACGCCTCCCTTCGGCCCATACACTGTTGTCCCTCAAATGTACCTCTTAAGATTCGTGCCAAAAGACAGAAAAAGCAATTTACTATAAATATCGGCATTTCAAACATTTTATTTGTTATTGTTTAATATGTGAAGGTATTTCCCCCCATGACTGGCTGAGGTTGACAAGTGTTACTCACTTCATTTTTTTTTTCTATTCTGTTAGTCTCCAACAACATATTTCTACATCACCAATCCCCTTGCTCAGTGTCCCATAAAGGTCTCTGTTTCCACAAACGCAGGCAACAGCATGGGCGTGCTAGTCCAGGAATACCACTGCACCTCCTCCACCCCAAGCTTAACTTCCCAGGAGAAGGAGGAAGTGATGGTGTTGGAAGAGAGCCCTAAAATGTTGTCATTGTTATTGTGAATCTTTAAATAGAACTTAGTATCTGTAAAGGGTTTTGGGAATCACCTTTACTCACAACTGTTCATAAAGATGCTATGAGAAGGAAGGGCCATTCTGTTAGCTCTGGTCTTTGATTTTTATCTATATCACATGCTGCATTATTACATGAAACTGGGCCTCATAAAGTAAAAATTATCCTGCTAAAATAAAATCAGGATTCCTTAAAAATCAAAGACTTGAAAGTTTGGCAAAGTGATGCACACCTGTAGTCCCAGATACTTGGGAGGCTGAGGCAGGAGGATCACTTGAGCCCAATGGTTTAAAGCTTAGTGCACCATGATCACACCTGTGAGTAGCCACTGCACTCCAGCCTGGACAACATAGCAACACCCCATTTAAAAAAAAAAAATCAGAGGTTTGAATTTTTTTATCCATGTGATCATGAAGAAGATAAAATTAATTTAGATGACACCATCTCTGAGAACTCTGCTTGTCTCCTAGTGATAACACCACACCCTTTGTACCAACAACAAAATGTCTTTAAATACTTTTCCCCTTTGACATTTTTTATTTTCTATGTCATTAAATCAGGTTATTTGGCAAGAAATGCAAGGAAAAAGAGAATTTCAGAATAATTATAGTAATATTAATTTTGACTAAGCAAACATAAAAAGTTACTTAATGAAGCTTGTTTTCCAAACTTTTAAACATTGCTAAATCTTCTTGCAAGATTTTTGTTTTCCCTTTGAGGTTACCCACTTGTAAAGTCCATTAGTTTTTGTTTCTTAAAAAAAAGCAGTTATGGCAAATAGGCTCAAAATATTTTCTGCCTCTAAAAATAAACATCTTTCTTTTGAACAACATTCTTAACTCTAAAGTTCTGGCTATTCCCAAGAGAGACAAGGCTAGTTAGTGGCAATTTTAAAGATAAGAGAGCTCAGGCAGGTTACATAGATATCCTTCCTGGAACCCCTTGGCCTGTCATCTTCCTGCGACATCTAGCAAATTATGGTACTTTGTTAGCTCCCAACAACAAAAGAGGCCTGCAGAGCCAGGAGGTGAGAAGCAGAGACAGTGGAGCAGAGGGCAGGCAGGGAGAGCCACAGCGTTCAGTAGGATTTAGTCTACAAATAACAAGGAAATCAGATGCAATGCTCCAGGAAAAGGCAACCTCCAGTACCAAAAGTATTTTTAAATGTTTACGTCTTTTTGTGCAACTATAAGAAGGTTTTAAAGAACTACAATGAACAACACGTTAAACACTCTGACAGACGGACATCTCATAGATACGTAATGCAAGCAATCTGTAAGGAAGAGAGATACAGGAAGGGAGAGAAGGAAGCACACAGCCAGGACAGCAGGATAAAGAGGAAGATGACATTTTCCAAGCTAACAAATGGTTTTTAACTGTCCTAATCCAGGTGCTTAAGATCCTTGAAAACAATAACCTTCCAGAAAGCAAATACAAGCAGCCAACAAGAGAACAAGTAGCCTCCTATGTACCTCTGTCAAGTCACCGTTCACTGGAGGAAAAAGGGAGGGAAAACCAAGCCATGAACAACCCAAATAGTGTTAATAAATCAAATTATGGAAGGAACTTCTGAGCAACAGCCGCCGTCCTCCCATTCACTTTCTACTTCCTTTGCATGCTGAGACCCATCCACAGTTCAGTGAGGAAGCAATGGTGCCAACCATTGTCCTGCTTTATGTAGTTAATGGAGAAAAAAATGAGAATCTTATGATTTCTTACAAAGGTAAGTACTTGGCCGGGTGCAGTGGCTCACGCCTGTAATCCCAGCACTTTGGGAGGCCGAGGCAGGTGGATCACGAGGTCAGGAGATCAAGACCATTCTGGTTAACACAGTGAAACCCCATCTCTATAATACAAAAATTGGCTAGGCGTGGTGTTGGGCGCCTGTACTCCCAGCTACTTGGGAGGCTGAGGCAAAAGAATCGCTTGAACCCGGGAGGCGGAGGTTACAGTGAGCCGAGATCGTGCCATTATACTCCAGCCTGGGCAACAGAGCTAGACTCCATCTAAAAAAAAACAAAAAACAAAAAAGGTAAGTACTCACACTTTAGAGTACTGTAGAGTCCACACCTTCACCTGCATGACTATGGAAATATGGGGAAATTAATCTTTATCAAAAAAAAAAGTAAGTCATATCCATTCTAAATAAAGAAATATGTTTATATCTACAGTCACTGGCATATTAACACTCAGACAATTCTACTTATGTACTTCACATCAGTCTGATTAGAGTATACCCATTTTCAAATATGAGTAGCTATATGTAGCTCCAATAATATCGGAAAGGCAAAGCTGTCATTATGTGGTTTATGTGCATGTTAATGAGTAACTGTTTCCAGAAAACTACAAAAACAATACACCTACAAATCAAAACGAAAAAGACAAACAACCCAACAGGAAAATAAGCAAAAGACGTGAACAGGTGGGTCCTAGAAGGAGACATAAAAAACTAAATATCAACCAATAAGTGAATGGATAAACTGAGACATACTAATACAATGGAATATTAAACAATGAAAATCAATGAATCAGAGTTACATATATACCAAGACGGATGAATCTCACAGTTGAGAGGAAAGATAGCAACTTGCAGAAGAATGTGCAACATACAGTAAAACTGTAATATTAATTACATATCATCTTTTTTTTTTTTTTTTTTTTGAGGCAGAGTCTCACTCTGTTGCCCAGGCTGGAGTACAGTGGTGTGATCTTAGGCCACTGCAGCCTCTGCCTCCCGGTTTCAAGCGATTCTCCTGCCTCAGATTCCCAAGTAACCGGGATTACAGGCACCCGTCACCACCACCACGTGCGGCTAATTTTTGTATTTTTAGTAGAGATGGGATTTCACCATATTGGCCAGGCTGGTCTCAAACTCCTGACCTCAGGTGATCCACTCGCCTCGGCCTCCCAAAGTGCTGGGATTATAGGTGTGAGCCACCATGCCCAGCCAATTAGACTCTTGTTGGATTTTTCTTGTCTTTTTTTTTTTTGAGATGGTGTCTCGCTTTGTCACCAGGGTGTGGAGTGCAGTGACAAACCATCTTGGCTCACTGCAACCTCCACCTCCCAGGTTCAAGTGATTCTCCTGCCTCAGCCTCCCAAGTGGCTCGGATTACAGGCGTGTGCCACCATGCCTGGCTAATTTTTTTTATTTTTAGTAGAGACAGGGTTTCACCATGTTAGCCAAGATGGTCTCGAACTCCTGACCTCAAGATCCATCCGCCTCAGCCTCCCAAAGTGCTTGGATTACGGGCATGAGCCACCGCACCAAGCTGGATAGAATCTTAAAGTATCTCCCAGGGATCCATGATAGGACTAATATTAGGCTGGTACAACTTGACACGGCCGGGCCCACACACTACCAGCTGTCAAATACTTTGAAAATCAACCTTAACATTCATATGCAACAAAATTGTTAAGCAACACATAAGCATGATAAATACCAAATTCAGTACAGCAGCTTCCTCTGGGGAGGAGGAAGAGGTCACAACCAAATTAGCAATATTTTATTTCTGAACTAGGATGCTAAAGCAGGTATATACTTACTGTATAATCATTTATACCTTTTCATAGGTCCTAAATATTATGTAATTTTTAAACAATATCTATATATAGATATAATTTAAGTTGGCCAGGTGCAGTGGCTCACACCTGTAATCCTAACACTTTGGGAGGCTGAGGCAGGCAGGCAGCTTAAGCTCAGGAGTTTGAGACCAGCCTGGGCAACATGGCGAAACCCCATCTCTACAAAAAACATAAAAGTTAGCTGGGGTTCTCACAGTGAGACCCTGTCTCTGAAAGATTAAAAAAAAAAAAAATGACATCTCTTTTAAAACCACTTTAGATAATGGTTTTCATACTAGAATGTTAAGGAAATACTTGTTCTAGTGGAATTTTTTTAAAAAATTCAAATCTCGCCAGGCACGGTGGCTCATGCCTGTAATCCCAGCACTTTGGGAGGCTGAGGCAGGCGGATCATCTGAGGTTGGGAGTTCGAGACCAGCCTGACCAACATGGAGAAACCCCGTCTCTACTAAAAATACAAAAAAATTAGCCGGGCATGGCAGCCCATGCTTGTAATCCCAGCTACTCAGGAGGCTGAGGCAGGAGAATCGCTTGAACCCAGGAGGCAGAGGTTGCAGTGAGCTGAGATCCAGCCATTGCACTCCAGCCTGGGCAACAAAAGTGAAACTCTGTCTCAAAAAAAAAAAAAAAATTCAAATCTCCCCAAAATTAGTTCCTTTCTGTCCTTCTTGAGTTTGTATTACTCTTTAACTCTGCCTCCAAAGAACCATCCATTTCTGTGCAACCGCATTGATAAATGGAGAGTTCGTACTAAATATTTGATACTTGGTCTTATTTAACCATCAAATCTTAGCATTCTAACTGGTTAAAGACAAAAAAGTAAAATTAAAAATTTAAATTTAAATTTAAAAAAGTAAAATGACAGTAGATGAGAAAAAAACAGCTGGAAAATAAATGAATCTGGGATATCATGAGTCTGCCTGTTTATGCCCCTGGACTAGAGCAGAACCAAAAGGACCTCCATGTGCTGATAGGGTTAAATATGATTTCCTGGGGTGTTGATCTTGAGTAATACTCCGTGTGCATACATTCTAAAGGAACAAGTGAATTTTAGAAATGTCTGTGGTATAGTGTAGTGGTTAAAAGCTTGGGTTCTGAAATCAGTCTGACCCCTGGTTCAAATTCTAGCTTTGCCATATACTAGAGGTGTTATTTTGGGCAAATTACTTAACCTCTCTGAGTAGAGTTTCCTCATCTGTAAAAGTGAAACTAAAATCCCACGTACTTATATTACTGAGATAATACAGGTAACAGAAAGCATAGTACCTATAGAACACATGGTAACAAATGCTAGTTATTACATTCAGTTCAAGGGTGCAGTACACAAGGGGCTAGGTATCAGGTGTTTAGGGGACAGTCAGAAATGAATCATATATGAGCCCTAATTCTTCAGGAACTGGGGGAGATGGCCTTGTAAACAAGTCACTGTAGTATTATCTAGAATGGAAGAAGTGCCAACTGAAGTACAAGCAAGGTGCTGTGGGTGCATAAAGCAAGTGATGCCAACTTTGGGGAAGTTAGGGCTAATTTTGTAAAGCATTTGCCATTTGAGCTGAGGGTGTATTGCCAGGCCTAGAATGATGAGTAGGGCTTTTATGGGTGGAGAGTGGAGGAGAGTAGATTGTGGGCTGAAGAAAAGCACAGGGTTAATGGCAGGGTGTGGTGGGAGAGAAGGCTGGATAGATGATTTGTGGTTATATTTTGGAGGGTTTTTCACACACAAGTGTTCAGACTATATTCTCATGGCCAATGGGGAACCAAAGCAGGTGTTTGGTGTGAGCTGTGTTTCGCAATAATGTTTTGAAAGATGTATTAGAGAGGCAGGAGTCCAATTACAAGGATGTTTCAGAAATTCAGGTGAGTGATGAAGACATTTGGAGAACAGAGTCAGAGGGGATTAAAAGGAGATAGAAGACAGACAATTCGAAACTAGGTGCCAAAGACAATGTTCATGCTATTACTTGAGAGAGAGAAAATACAGGAGGAGAAGGTATGGGATAAATTGGATATTCCAGCAATGGGGTGGGCTAATGGGTCTTGTGAACTCAAAGATTAGTGCGAGATCTATCCGGCAGTTGGAAATTCAGTTCTGAAAGAAGGAAGCTAACATTTTATTGTGTACCCACTGTGTCTCAGGTTTTATGCTAAGCACCTTTGCAAATTATTTATTGGGAGCAGTTTTTTTTTTTTTTTTTTTTTTTGAGACAAAGTTTCGCTCTTGTTGCCCAGGCTCAAGTGCAGTGGCGCGATCTCAGCTCACTGCAACCTCTGCCCCCTTCCCCCACCACCTCCGTTTCAAGCGATTCTCCTGCCTCAGCCTCCCGAGTAGCTGGGATTACAGGTGCCCGCCACCACGCCCGGCTAATTTTTGTATTTTTAGTAGAGATGGGGTTTCACCATGTTGACCAGGCTGGTCTCAAACTCCTGACTTCAGGAGATCCACCTCGGCCTCCCAAAGTGCTGGGATTACAGACATGAGCCACCATGCCTGGCTGGAAATAGTATTTTTAAGATGAAAAAGTAGGGGCTCAGAAGAGACGTGATATTTAAACATCAACTTTAATTTTAAAGCACTTCTCATTTTTATCTTTTCTCTTTAAGCTCAGAAGAATGGATAAATGAGTGAGTACCAGAGGCAGCGAGCAGGCTGCTCTCTGGGACACTTTTCATCAGTTTCCACCTCAGGGTTTCACTATGAGGAGGGAATAGCTCTTTAACTGTGTGGTTCTCCTTGTTACCTGAAGAGTGTCAAGGGAGTTTCATTCTCCATTTTATTTCTCAAGTTCTAATATTCCTTTCCCTTCGGAGCTGCTTGAAGGTTAATGTCCTTTAAGATTTTTCTCTCTTGCTTCTGATGAAATGGAAACATTTGTTTTGGAGTGGGTAAAAACTTAATAAGTCTTGTTTTAGTTCAATTGGAGAGGCCAAAGGGGCAGAGAGAATGTTGCTCTTTTCCTTAATGGTGTCCCCTTTATTAGATAATGAAATGTGTAATCCTTATGCCAAGCTCATGGATGCAGATAAAAATTAAGTCTGATCAGACTTTGAATGCCTTTTAAGGAATTTTTGTTATTACAAAAACCCCAGCACACACACATACACACACACGCACACATGCACACATAGGCAAAAGCCCTTCCCCATATTACTTTCATTTTCCATTCTTGCAGTCTCTCTTCCTAGAGATAATTGCTATGGACAATTTTATGTTTATCTTATTTAAATGTTTCTGACACCTGGGACCTTGGGAATAATTAGGCAAAGTAGCTAGAATTTGACCTTTTTCCTTTTCACCTAGGTATTTGATATCAGGGTTTATTACTAAGATTTCATCAATATGGGTTCTTCCTTTTTTTTTTTTTTAAGGCAGGGTCTCACTCTGCTGTCCAGGCTCGAGTGCAGTGGCATGATCTCGGCTCACTGTACCTTCTGCCTCCTGAGCTGAAACAATCCTCTCACATCAGCTTCCTTAGCAGCTGGGACTACAGGTGTGCACCACCACGCCTGGCTAATTTTTGTGTTTTCTGTACAGATGGGGTTTTGCCATGTTACTCAGGCTTGGGTTCTTATTTTTGACTGTGGTTTTGAAAGCCCCATAAATATAAAATATAACTTACTTTAAATGCTGTTAGGTCACCTTTCAAATCACCAACATACCTAGGGTTATAATTTAAAGACCTTGTGCATCTCATTTGTTGCTAAACCAGTTCTGTTAGTTAATTTATTACACAAGTTTGCCAGTTAACTGCAACAGTGGGCAAAAAGCTTCTTTTTCTTTTTTTTCTTTTTTTAGACAGTCTTACTCTGTAGTCCATGCTAGAGTGCAGTGGCATGATTATAGCTTACTGCAGCCTCAAACTCCTGGGCTCGAGCGATCTTCCCACCTTAGTCTCCCAACACAGGTTCATGCCACCACGTCTAGCTAATTAAAGCAATTTTTTTTCAAGAGTTGGGGTCTTGCTATATTGTCCAGGTGGGTTTTGAACTCCCAGATTTAAGTGATCCTCCTGCCACAACCTCCCAAAGGGCTGGGATTATAGGCATGAACCACCTTGGCTGGCTGGCTGGCTGGCTGGCTTGCTTTCTTTCTCTCTCTTTCTTTCATTCTTTCATTCTTTTTATTCTTTTTATTCTTTTTTTGAGACAGAGTCTCGCTCTGTCATCCAGGCTGGAGTGCAGTGGTGTGACCTCGGCTTACTGCAACCTTCACCTCCTGGGTTCAAGCGATTCTCCTGCCTCAGCCTCCTCAGTAGCTGGGACTACAGGTATGTGCCACCACACCTGGCTAATTTTTGTATTTTTAGTAGAGACAAGGTTTAGCCTTGTTGGCCGGGCTGGTGTCGAATTCCTGACCTCAGGTGATCCAGCTGCCTCGGCCTCCCAAAGTGCTGGGATTACAGGCGTGAGCCACCACACCTGGCCCTTTCTCTCTCTCTCTCTTTTTTTTTTTTTTTTTAAGAGGAGGAAGGGCACAGAAGAACTGAGAATAGAAATTAACATAGGCCAATTTTAGTTTGGTAACTATATTAATCTGTTAACTACTTCATATGTTGAATGCTCATATAAATGTGCTGTGCTAAGTTTCTGTACAGAATCATGGGGTAAATGAGTAGACTGGATATATCTTGTCCATTAAGAGTTCTCTCATGGTACTGTTTAAGGACATGGGCTTTGGAGCCCAACAGACTTGTGTTCAAGCCAGTCTTGCCAGTAACTTGCTGTATGGTTTGGACAAGTTATTTAACCTCTCTGTTTCCTTAAATGAGGTAGATGGTTTCTGTGTTATAGGCTTATAACATAGGATCAAAGAGATGGTGCATGTAAAGTGTCTGGCACCAATTGAGTACTAAATAAATATTAACAATTTTTTCTTTTTTTGTTGGAGAGAGGGTCTCGCTCTATTGCCAAGGCTGAAGTGTAGTGGCACAATCTCCATCTTCTGGGCTCAAGCAATTCTCCCATCTCAGTCTCCTGAGGAGCTGGAACTACAGTTGTGTGCCACCACACCTGGCTAATTTTTAAATTTTTTGTAGAGACGGGATCTCACTATGTTGCCTAGGTTGGTCTTGAATTCCTGGGCTCGAGTGATTCTCCTGCCTTGGCCTCCAAGTGCTGGGATTTCAACATGAGCTACCACGCCCAGCCAGTGATTCTTATTGCTGTTTTATCATTATTTTCAAATACAGAACTTACAATTTTGATCATGTATGTTAGAGAATTTACCTGTTCTCACTTTTAAGCTATAACAAAGTAGGTGTCACTGATATTTCACTTTTTTTGCACTGTAGGTTGTCCAAAGGAATATAGAAATACTGAGATAAGCTTTTTAAAAAAAAGAATAGAGATGGGGTCTAGCTGTGTTGCTGAGGCTGGTCTTGAACTCCTGGGCTCAAGCGATTTTCCCACCTTTGCCTTCCAGAGTGGTGGGATTACAGGTGTGAGCAACTATGCCTGGCCAAAATAAGTGTTTTAAAACAGATGCAAATCTTAGTACCTCTCTTAGTTGGCCAGCTTTTTAAGTAAATTGAAAGAGTTCACCCAAAGAATACCACAGAGATTTTCTTTTGTTTTAGTAGTCTGACATCTCAAGTTCCTTTGGTGTTTCGAGTTTTGTTTCTACTCAGGAAAATGTTGTGGAATGCATAAGACATTTTTAAAGCAGTGTTCTAATTGTTCACCAGCGGAGAGGAAACAACTTAAGTGGTGTTTCTTGTTGGTTGAGAACATATTATATGTATTTTGGGGGCTGAGGACATATCAGGGATATTTCTACAGGGAAGGATTTGAGATAAGGAAAAAAATATTTCTTAGAAATCTCAAAACTATAGTCTGAAATTCCATGAAAAGAAAATTGAAGAATTTTGTAATCCAAGTCATTGGAGATAAAGGGTCAGAAGGAACATTTTTGTTGTTGGAAGTGTTATCTTCCAAGAAGATCCATAAATCCTTTTTTAATGAGCTAGAAGATATGCTAAAGAAAAAGGAATCTCAGAAGTAGATGGAAACAGGTTTTTTGTTTTTGATTTGTAAAAACAAGGTCTTGCTTGGTTGCCCAGCCTGGTGTTCTTTTTTTTAAAGGCCAGATAAATTTCTTTTTTCTTTTCTTTTTTTTTGGGGGGGGGGTGGGTACAGAGTTTTGCTCTTGTTGCCCAGGCTGGAGTGCAGTGGCGTGATCTCGGCTCACTGCAACTTCCACCTCCTGGGTTCACGTGATTCTCCTGAGGTCAGGAGTTCAAGACCAGCCTGCTCAACATGGTGAAACCCCATCTCTACTAAAAATACAAAATCTACTCTCCTCCACTTGGGAGTAGCCTCCAGCTACTTGGGAGGCTAAGGCAGGAGAATCACTCTCCTCCACTCTCCACCCATAAAAGCCCTACTCATCATTCTAGGCCTGGCAATACACCCTCAGCTCAAATGGCAAATGCTTTACAAAATTAGCCCTAACTTCCCCAAAGTTGGCATCACTTGCTTTATGCACCCACAGCACCTTGCTTGTACTTCAGTTGGCACTTCTTCCATTCTAGATAATACTACAGTGACTTGTTTACAAGGCCATCTCCCCCAGTTCCTGAAGAATTAGGGCTCATATATGATTCATTTCTGACTGTCCCCTAAACACCTGATACCTAGCCCCTTGTGTACTGCACCCTTGAACTGAATGTAATAACTAGCATTTGTTACCATGTGTTCTATAGGTACTATGCTTTCTGTTACCTGTATTATCTCAGTAATATAAGTACGTGGGATTTTAGTTTCACTTTTACAGATGAGGAAACTCTACTCAGAGAGGTTAAGTAATTTGCCCAAAATAACACCTCTAGTATATGGCAAAGCTAGAATTTGAACCAGGGGTCAGACTGATTTCAGAACCCAAGCTTTTAACCACTACACTATACCACAGACATTTCTAAAATTCACTTGTTCCTATAGAATGTATGCACACGGAGTATTACTCAAGATCAACACCCCAGGAAATCATATTTAACCCTATCAGCACATGGAGGTCCTTTTGGTTCTGCTCTAGTCCAGGGGCATAAACAGGCAGACTCATGATATCCCAGATTCATTTATTTTTCTCCTTTTTTACCCCCACTCCCAGTCCTCACTACCCCTGAAAAACAAATTAGAAAAGAAATGATTTGGAAGGTAGAGATAAAAAAAGAATTCAATCTTTCACTCCTTGTAAGACACATAATAGTAACAGTAAGTGTATAAGATTTAGCAGCCATATATAACCTAAAAGAATCTGTTGGATCACTTCAAAACATGCTCACCCTGCTCAAACCTGAAATCAACAGCAGTTGCTAAGAAAACACATGACCGACTGCAAGACAACATGATGACTCACCCAAGGAACAAGCTTACCTTCCAGTTCTCAGAAACCATCACCAACAGAGAGTCTTTGTAACCAAATCATCAATCTGTGGTTACAAACATTCAGAAGTTTCTTTTCATCCAGCTCACAAGGGAATATAATCAGTACTGGATTAAACACTTTTATAAAATTAATTATTATCCAGCAGAGGGGAAACTTTCTGCAAAGAAAAATGTACAAAGACTACAAAGGTAACTTATTTTCTTTTAAACAAAGACGTATTAACAGAGGAAAGATTCTTACTCAACATCATCAAATGAGTGACTACAAAGGATATTCTAACAAGAGCAAGCTTAGTAACCTATTTTCTTTGCCATTACACAAGTGCAAATAATAAAACACATCTTGGCCAGGCGCCGTGGCTCACACCTGTAATCCCAGCACTTTGGGAGGCTGAGGCGGGTGGATCACCTGAGGTCAGGAGTTCGAGACCAGCCTGGCTAACCCCGTTTCTACGAAAAATACAAAAAATTAGTCAAGCGTGGTGCCGTGCGCCTGTAATCCCAGCTATTCAGGAGGCTGAGGCAGAATTGCTTGAACCCGGGAGGTGGAGGTTGCAGTGAGCCAAGATCACACCACTGCACTCCAGCGCTGGCAACAAGGGCGAAACTCCATCTCGAAAAAATAATGATAATAAAGATAAAAAAATAAAACATATCTTTAACTCTTTAATAAACAGAATTCTAATAAACAGAATTCATGATAATCATTCCTTTTTTTCTTTCTGAATCACTATCTCAAATTTTTGAACTAAAAGCTCTAATATGCATTATTCTATCAACAATCCCATCATACACTGGCTATAACTCACCATTATACTATAGTAACAGCTTATATGCATTTGAGTTGTGGGGGGTTTTTATTTGTTTTGGAGGCATGGGAGACAGTCTTGAACAGCTTATTTATGTTGTTGAAATGTACAATTAAGATAAAAATATCTTCTGAGTAATATTTTAAAATGAAAATTAGCTAACTCCTATGTTATGACCCATTAATTCATGTATCACACAGAAGCGGCTAAAGATGAAAATCTCAGTCATAAGTGATACAATCAGCTTTTCCTCAGGATACTACAACTTGTCCTCCAAAGCCAAAGTAGGAGAAAACAGGTGGTATGTCTGTAAATCAATTCTGTCCCCTCTCCAAACATGAACTATCCCATAACCTGATCTCCTACTAAATGTGTCATCTCGAACCTTGAAAAAAAGACACCATGGAGCACATTGACTAAGACGAACGGATTTTTAAAATGTATTATGCATCCCCACATGCTGAATACCTTTTCTTTCCAAATGAGGCAACATAACTGCTGAAATGAGTACTGAGAATTCTTAATTTACATATATTAAAAATCTGCCCCAAGGCCAGGCACGGTGGCTCAGGCCCATAATCCCAGCATTTTCGGAGGCTGAGGCGGGCAGGTCACTTGAGGCCAAGAGTTTGAGATCAGCCTGGCCAACATGGTGAAATTCCACCTCTACTAAAAATACAAAAATTAGCCAGGTGTGGTGGTGCATGCCTATAGCTCCAGCTACTCAGGAGGCTGAGGCAGTAGAATCACTTGAACCCAGGAGGCAGAGGCTGCAGTGAGCCAAGATCACGCCACTGCACTCCAGCCTGGCAACAGAGTGAGACTCTGTCTCCAAAAAAACAAAACAAAACAAAAAAAAAACAAAACTGCCCCAAAACCTTCTAATAAAAACTGCCCCAAAACCTAATATCTACCTTCCTAAAAACCTGCCTTTCAAATTAAAATTTCCCCTTCAAGTGCAACAATTCAATTTTGGCAGGGCATGCGTGTATAGTCTTTCTTACTATTCTAGAATATTATCTATAAGTATAATGCACATATTGCTAACATAATGACAGTAAATAAAATGTTTTAATAAAATGTATTCACGGTAGTGACAAGTATACTTATTTTTGCCAGGCACAGTGGTTCACGCCTCTAATCCCAGCCCCTTAGGAGGCTAAAGCAGGAGGATTTCTTGAGCCCAGAAGTTTGAGACCAGCCTGGGCAACACAGTGAGATCTCGGTCTCTACAAAATATCAAAACACGAGGCTGGAGGATCACTTGAGCCAAGGAGGTCAGGGCTGCAATAAGCCATAATCACACCACGCTGCACTCCCACCTGGGTGACAGAGCGAGACTTCGCCTCAACAACAAAAAAAGTATACTTTTAGTAGATGTTATGCAAATACGAATATATGTACATGTGTCCAACTGTTGTTTTGTTTTATCCAACTTTTGTGTAAATTAGCTCTAGATAAGTTTTATCTATAATGTAAGGGAAACCAGGAAATGGCTACACATGATTTGGTTTCAAATTCATTTCTAGCACTTTAATATCTCAAATAATTTAAAATCCAATTATTTAAGGATAAAATGATATGATGTATAAAATTTGCTTCAAAATAATCCAGCACGGGTGGGATATGTGAGGACCTGGGTAAAACCAGATTGACAGGATTTAATAATATTCATTCTGGGTAATCGTTATGCAATAGTACATTTTACTATTATCTCTGCTTTTGAATATATTTGAAATTTTTCATAATAAAGTTTTTTAAGTCCAATTTACTATTGCTCCACTGTCAAACATAACTGTATCATTTTGAATTTGTTTTATGTGCTCACTTCAACAACACACATAGTAAAATTGAATTTGTTTTACCTACATTCCTTTTTTTCTTTTTAGTCGGGGTCTCACTGTGTCTCTCACGGCTCACTGCAGCCTCAATCCCCCAGGCTCAGGCGATCCTCCCACCTCAGCCTCCCTAGTACCTGGGACTATAGACATGCACCACCATAGCCCAGCTAATTTTTTTTTTTGAGATTGGGGTCTCACTATGTTGCCCAGGCTGGTCTCAAACTCCTGGGCTCATGTGATCCTCTCGCCTCAGCCTCCCAAAATGCTGGGATTACAGGCATATGCTACAGTGCCCAGCCTACACTGCAATTAATGTTTTATATGATATTAGTGCCAACTAATGCTCTTAAAATACAACGGGGTAGGGCCAGGCACGGTGGCTCATGCCTGTAATCCCAGCACTTTGGGAGGCTGAGGTGGGCGGATCACGAGGTCAGGAGTTCGAGACCAGCATGACCAACATGGTGAAACCCCGTCTCTACTAAAAATACAAAAATTAGCTGGGCGTGGTGGTGCGCACCTGTAATCCCAGCTACTCAGGAGTCTGAGGTAGGATAATCGCTTGAACCCAGGAGGCGAAGGTTGCAGTGAGCTGAGATTGTGCCGCCGCACTCCAGCCTGGGCAACAGAGTAAGACTCCGTCTCAAAAAAAAAAAAAAAAAACAATGTGGTAAATATCACATTTCTTAACCATATGCATAGACTTGAAGAGCTGGAAAAAATCTCAAAGATTGTCTAATCCTCTATGCCCATGGTTCACAGTCTGGAGCATGCATCAGAATCACTTAGAAGGCTTATTAAACACAGATTGCTGGGCCCCACTGTCAAGGTTATACTCAATAGGTTGGCTGCTCCTGGTCCCTGGACCCTACTTTGAGAACCACTGCTCCAGCTGACCATGCTTTGCCCTGCTCATGTTTCCACTGCAGTGACTACCAATTACCCCACTGATTGCATGTTCCTCTGCTTATGGGCCTTTCTGCTTCTAGACAGCTTACAAGTGGCAAGAGACATTGACTTTTACCTGTGTGTCAGAGCCCAGATTCAATAAGTATTTAAAAAATAATTTGTTGAATGAATTAAATAGGGGTACATTTACACAGCCCGATAGAGAAGAGCTACTCACTGATAACAAACTGCACCCAGTGGTAGTACCCAAAGGAAGACTAAAAGTCAGCTGGAACCAGAGCAACAAGTAATTGGCAAATTCTAGGAAAATCCAAGCACCAAATCTCAGATTGAAATTTCCAATCAAATATGGACACTGACAAGCAAAAGCTTGAGGCTCCTTTTTGTCAAATGTGTTACTTTGACCTGAGGGGCTATTAGCAAGTGCTTTTCATCTCACACACCATCAAAAGAAAGAGATGCTTTCACACTTATCTTTCAACTCAACGTTTCTCAGGGTCTGGAAAATGTCAACACAGGAAGATTGATTCCTTCTCCCCATTCACCTCCCTCCTCCTAATGCAGCCCAGAGGAAAGAAAAGGAGGCAGTGCACCCTGCAGAACCTGTCTGGAGGGGAGGGTTCTCCAAGTGCAGGTGCTCTGAATATTGTAATACTCTGCAGTATTCTAAAATATGTTTCTATAACAGCAATGGTCTGCTCTATGATAATTTAGTGGATTTAGTTTAAGAAAATTAGTTTCTAGGCCAGGCACAGAGGCTCACACCTATAATCCTAGTACTTTGGGAGGCCAAAGCAGGCAGATCACTTGGGCCAGAGAGGCAGAGGTTGCAGTGAGCCAAGATGGTGCCACTGCACTCCAGCCAGCTGGGCAACAAAGCTAGACAGACAGACAGATGGTAGGAACGAAGGAAGGAAGGGAGGAAGGGAGGGAGGGAGGGAGGGAGGGAGGGAAGGAAGGGGAGAAGGGAGAAAGAGAGAGAGAAAGAAAAGAGAGAAAGGAGGGAGGAAAGGAGTGGAGTCCACTCCTTTAGTGCAGGCTGCACATAGTGACTTGCTTCTTTCTTTGTTTTCTCTTTTTCCCGAGGCAGAGTCTTGCTCTGTTGCCCAGGCTGGACTGCAGCGTCATGATCTCAGCTCACTGTAACCTCCACCCCCTGAGTTCAAGCAATTCTCCTGCCTCAGCCTCCCAAGTAGCTGGAATTACAGGCATGTGCCACCACACCCAGCTAATTTTGTATTTTTAGTAGAGATGGGATTTCACTATGTTGGCCAGGCTGGTCTCCAGCTCTTGACCTCGTGATCCGCCTGCCTTGGCCTCCCAAACTGCTGGGATTACAGGTGTGAGCCACCACGCCCAGCCAATTTTAAAAGTATTTTTAACTAAATACAAATAAAATCACACCATATCAAAATTTGTGAGATGTCACTAAAGTAGTACTGAGGAATAAATTTAAAAGACTAAACACCTATATCAGAAAAGAAGAAAAGTCACAAATCAATGACCTAAGGAAACTGGAATAAGAACAAATTAAACCCAAAAGTAGAAGGGAAAAATAAAGATCTGAGTGAAAATCAATCAAAGGGAAAATAGAAAAATATTAAACAATATCAATGAAACCAACAGCTGGTTCATGGAGTTCAATAAAATTAATAAACCTCAAGCCTAGAGTGTCTCAACCCTGGCACTACTAACACTTTGGCTGAATAATTCTCTATTGAGAGGATCTCACCTATCCACTGTAGGGTATCTAGCAGCATCCTAGACTTCTGCCCAGTAGATGGCTGGGAACAAATGCCCCTCGTCCCTACACCAGACATGGTTTCCAGACACTGTCTCCAAAAATTACCAAATGTTCCTGGCATAGGTGGGGTAAACTTCCACCCATATTCACACCATAAACAAAAATTAAAGTACATGAACCTAAATGTTAAACCAAAACCTATAAAAATTTTAGAAAAAAATCATAGGAGAAAGCCTTTTTGACTTTGAATTAGGCAGATTTCTTAGATAATAATACCAAAAGTACAATCCATAAAGAATAAATTGACAAATTGTACTTCATCAAAATTAAGAACAGTATCTTCAAAAGATATTGTTAAGAGAATGTAATAAATTTGCTATGGTTTAAATGTCCCCTCCAAAACTCTGGTGAAATTTAATCGCCATCGTAACATTATTAAGAGGCAATACTGTTACAATATTACAGTATTAAGAGATGGAACTTTTATCAGGTGATAGGTTATAAGGGCTCTGCTGTCATTAATGGATTAATGCCATCATCGCAGGAGTGGGTTCCTTATAAAGGAATAAATCAGGCTGAGAGTGGTGGCACGCACCTGGAGTCCCAGCTACTCAGGAGGCTAAGGCAGGAGAATCGCTTGAACCTGGGAGGCAGAGGTTGCAGTGAGCTGAGATCAAGCCACTGCACTCCAGCCTGGGCAACACAGCGAGATACTGTCTCAAAAAAAAAAATAGGCTGGGTGCAGTGGCTCATGCCTGTAATCCCAGCACTTTGGGAGGCCAAGGTGGGCAGATCACTTGAGGCCAGGAGTTCAAGACCATCCTGGCCAACACAGTGAAACCCTGTCTCTACTAAAAATCAAAAAAAAAAAAAAAAAAAAAAAAAAAAAAAAGGCCGGTGTGGAGACGCACACCTGTAATCCCAGGTACCACAATCACTAGAACCCAGGAGGCAGAGGTTGCAGTGAGCTGAGACTGTGTCACTGCACTCCAGCCTGGGTGACAGAGTGAGACTGTGTCTTAAATAAATAAATAAATAATAAAATAAAAATAATAAAACAGCTCCATTTTGCTTCTTTCTCACCCTCTCTTTGCCCTTCTGTCATGTAATGATACAGCAAAAATGCTCTCACCAGATGTCGCCCCATCAATCTTAGACTTCCCAGATTCTAGAACCATGAGCCAATAAATTTCTGTTCATTATAAATTACCCAATCTATGGTATTCTGTAATGGCAGCACAAAATGGACTAAGATAAGACTGAATGGAAATATTTGCAAATCTTACACGTGACAAATGACTTGCATCCAGAATACACAAAGAACTCTCAAAACTCAATAAGAAGGAAAACAATGCAAGAAAACGGGCAAAAAATTTGAGTAGACACTTCAACAAAGAAGATAAATGGATGGTAAATAAGCATATGAAATGATGCTCAACATCATTAGTCATCAGGGAAATGGAAATTAAAACCACAATGAGGTGTCACTACACACCCAACAGAATGGCTATAAAAGCCTAACCACCCCAACTGTTGGCAAGGATCTGGGGCAACTGGAACCCTCATAGACTATTTTGGTTATATTATATAACCACTTTGGAAAAGTATAGTAGTTCTTTGAAAAATTAAACATATGCCTACCATAGGATCTAGTCATTCTACTCCTAGACATCTACCCAGGGGAAATGAAAGATATGCATACAAAGACTGTGTATAATGTTCATGGCAGCTTTATTTTTAATAGCCCAAAACCAGAAACAACCTAAATGTCTATCAATGGGTGAAAAGATACATGAACTGGCGTCTATCAGTACAATGGAGTATTACTTAACAATAAAAAGAAATCAGCTATTGATACAATGTGGATGAGTCTCAAAATAATTATGCTAAGCAAAAGCCAGGCAAAGAAGAGAACTTACTACATGATTCCATTTACATAACATTCTAAAAAACGCAAACTAATCCACAGAGACAGAAAGCTATCATTGGCTGGATGAGGAAGAGGGATTCAGGGTATAGCAAGGAGCTACAGGGAGACAGTTCCACAGGTCTATACATAAGTCAAAAACTTCTCAAATGTAAACACGAGGCCAAGGGCAGACTCATGCCTGTAATCCAGCACTTTGGGAGGCTGAGGTGGGAGGATCACTTGAGGCCAGGAGTTGGAGACCAGCCTAGGCAACATGGTGAGACCTCTTCTCTACAAAAAAATTCACAGTTGGCCAGGCATGGTAGTGTGCACCTGTAGTCAGTTACTTGGGAGGCCGGGGTGGGAGAATCACTTGGGCCCAGGAGGTAGAGGCTACAGTGAGCCATGATCGCACCACTGTACTCCAGCCTGGGTGATAGAACGAGACCTTGTCTCAAAAAAATAAAATAAGTGAATTTACACTACTCCAGACATAATCTTTTATTTGATGAAAGTAGGAAAGGGGGCATTATGACACAGATCCTTTGTACATGTGAAAGCAAGCATTTTGTCTTTAAAAAGAAAAAAAGGAGGGGAACATACAGTGAAGACTCAGAGAATAGGCTATTGTATTTAATATTATTTCTTAATTAAGATGTTGCCAATCTGAAATATTTCACAATAATAAAAAAGGAAAAATGATTGTATGTTTCCAATTTGGCCTGTCCCACTCCCAGGCAGAACTAGGGGCTTCCCTCCTCCCACAGCCCCCAGGAGCACATGTGTATACTGCAATAGCTTGTCTTCCCACTAGACTAACAGCTTCACCAGGACAGGGACTGTCTTTTGATTTTGACATAGTGGTCAGATACAGGTTCGTTAGAGTCTGCGAGCCTGGCTTTGTATTCTAGGCGCTGCCACTCACCTACTGCATAATCTCAGAAAGTTATTCAATCTCCCTGATGCCCAGTTTCTTAAACCATAAAAAGGGCTAATAGGCTACATATGAGGATTCCATGTTAATTTCTCCAGAAAGGCCCTGCATGATCTGACACCTGATTTCCACCCTGTCATTTAGTCCTACCCTCCCTTAACTTGACAGTGCTCAGCCACAATGACCTCTCAGTTCCAATAAATCCACACACCACCTAGCTCTTTCCTGCCTGGAGGCCTTTGAGCATCCTATCTCTCGGCCGGATCTTCTTCCATGCCTGTCTCCTCTCTACAACCTCTTATGCCACAACAACATGGCTAGCTCCTTCTCATCTTCAAGTCTCAGTTAAATGTCACTTCCACCTAGAGGCCTTCTCACCAGTATTCTAGGAGGCCTTGGTTATTCCATGTCCCAGCACTCTGTTATACCCTTCTTTCCACTCAACACTCATTCAAGTTATTGAGGACCTGCTATACGCCAGTTACCGTTCCAGATTCTGAAGGTGTAACAGTGAATAAAACAGCTGTGATACAGTTCTGAAGGATATAAAATCTCCCGAAAAAGACAGACAATAAACAAGCAACATATGATATAGCCATAAGTGCTACGGAGGAAAAATAACAACTTATGAAAGGAGGAATGGGAGTCGCGAGGATGGCTGTGATTTTAAATTTGGAGGTTAGTGAAGGCTCACTGACAAAATAACATCAAGTAAAGAAGTGAAGGGGGTCAGATCAACAAGAGCCATTAGAGATATGGGAGCTAGGGACAGGGGGTCATTCCAGGCAGCGCACAACAAGTCCAAAGGCCCTCATGCAGCAAGAAAGCTGGTTTGGCTGTAGACACTCGAGTAGGGAGGAGAGCAACAGATAAGATAGGAAAGTCACAGCATGGAGAGGCAGGGAAGCCAAAAGAGGTTGTTCTGGGAGCCACTGTCAGGTCTTTGCCATTCACTCAGAGAGACATAGGAAGCCAATGGAGGGTTTTGAACAGAAGAATGATGTGATATGATTTACCTTTCAAAAGCTGCTATTAGTTTAGCAATATATTTTATTTCCTGCCTAGATTCCCCACCTAGATAAGGGCAGGAATCACGACTGTCTTGTGCACCACTATCGCCCCAACACCCAGCACAATACATTGTAGGTACTCAATAAATACTTATAGATGAAAAAGGTAAAAAGGTAATCTATGTAAAATATCTACTGGTATAAAATAAGCATTCTATAAGGAGTAACTATTATTATTCAGATCTCCAGAAGCCAGCACAGTGGCTGGTATATGTAGGAGTTTGAGTAAATGAATAAATAACTTTGTGAAATTATTGAAAATATATATTTAAAACATATAAGTAATGAAAAATATAATAATGAAAAATGAACCAATTGCTTTTCACCCGTTCCCTTATTAAAATGTGATTCATTCAGTTTTTAAATTTTACATTAACTCTCACCTTATGCTAGTGAGAGCACTACTCAGAATAACCTCATTGTGACTCAGTTCTCTAAACATTCTGTAATATCCTACAACACAATTAACACGAATCCACTGAAATGCTAAAAAATTTCTAATTAGGTAAATTTATTCACATGATTTTTCAAACAATTTTAAGGCTAGCTGACCAAAAGTGGTTTGAGTTTGATTTTTTAAAAATTCAGATAAGCTTTGTTAATTCAAACATGTGGACAAAGACCTAAACATTTCCACTTTTTACTTATTTTGACATCTCCATTCTTCACCACGAAAAAACTTAATGAGGATTACACCTGTTCCCACCGCCCCAGGGGGCTGGCCGGGCTAAAGCCGTTCAGTAATTATCTCAGGAAAAGCCCTTAAGAGTCTCCACAGCTTTCCAGAAAGACAACTTGGAGAAGGAGTCATGCATTAAAGCATGAAAACACACCAAATATTCATCCCATAAAAGCTGAACACTCTCCTCTGAACATGTTTACGATGTCTCAGTGGCAGGTACTGGAGTGGTGAGAAGGCCAGGTGTAGCCCGGCATGGTTTAATTGTATTCCCCAACTCTAAAAATGATCGAACCCATCCTAGCATAGCCAAATAGTATCTGCAACGAAGCCTTCGGACTTCTAGAAAAGCACACAAAAGTTGCTTCAAATAAAACAAACTCAAAAAAAAAAAAAAAAGTGATGCCAAGTGTGGAGCGGCTTGA